>NC_000002.12:26909870-27062620 GCF_000001405.40 Homo sapiens
AAAAAAAAAGGTATAATTAATGTTTGATAAGCTGCACATTTTAAAGTATACAGTTTGATACATTTTGACATATACATACATCAAGAAGCCATCACAATATAATAAACATATCCACCATTCCTGAAAGTTTCTTTGTGTTCCTGTAATTTTCCCCCAGCTCTCACCCCAGGTTACCACTATTTTATGTCACTATAGATTAGTTTGCATTTTCTACTATTTCTATATAAATGGAGCAATGCGATATGCATTCCTTTTTTTGTCTGGTTTCTTTCGCTCAGTAGTATTAAGTTTTTGGCTGTTAAAGATAAAGCTACTGTGAACATTCATATACATATATTTGTGTGGACATAGGCTTTTATTTCCCTTGGGTAATTACCCGGAAGTGGAATGTGTCTGTTTTATGGTAGGTCTACATTTAGCTTTTTAAGAAATTGCCACCTGGTTTCCAAAGTGGTTGTAACAATTTTTTTTTCCCCATCAGTAGTGACTCCATATCATTCCCACCACTTGTTGTGGTCAGTCTTTTTAATTTTAGCCGTTCTAATAGGTGTGTAGTGGTATCTCAGTGTGGTTACAATGTGCATTTCCTTAGTGACTAGTGTTGAATGTCTTTACATGTGCCTATATGCCTTCTATATGTTTTCAGTGAAGTGTCTGCTCACACCTTTTACCCATGTTTTAGTAAGTTGTTGGCTTTTAAAAATCTGAATATAAGAGTTGTTTTCTTTTTTTCTTTCTTCTTCTTCTTTTTTTTTTTTTTTTTTTAGTAGAGACAGGGTTTCACCAGTTGGCCAGGCTGGTCCTGAATGATTGACCTCAGTTGATCTGCCCGCCCCAGCCTCCCAAAGTGCTGGGATTACAGGTGTGAGCCACCACACCCAGCCCAAAAGTTGTTTATATAGTCTAATTACAAGCCATTTATTAGATATATGTTTTGCAAATTTTTCTCCCAGTCTGTTACTTACTTTTTCATTTTCTTAAGTGTTTTTTGAAGAGCAGTAGTTTTTAATTTTGAAGTCCAATTTATCGATTTTTTTATTTCTACTTCATGCTTTTTGTGCTATAATCAAGAAATTTTTTCAGAATCCAAGGTCTCTAAGATTTTCCCCTATGTTTTCTTTTAGAAGTTTGTAATTTTAGCTTTTACAGTTCAGTCTATGATCTGTTTTAAGTTAATTTTTATACATGGTATGTGGTATCTATGTTCAGTTTTTTTTTTTTTTTTTTTGCAAATGGCTATCCAATTGTTCCAGAGCCATTTGTTGAAAAGATTATCCCTTGTCAAAAATCAATTGACCATACATGTGCCAGCCTATTTGTGGACTCTTCTCTTCTTTTGATCTGTTTGTCTATTTTTACACCAATACCACAGTCTCTTAATTATTGTAACTTTACAGTAAGTCTTGAAAGCGGGCAGTGTATGTCTTCCAACTCTGTTCTTTTTCAAAGTTGTATGACTATTTTATGTCCTTGGAAGCAAATAGTTTAGTGCAGGCTGCAAATCAAAAACATAGAGAAACGAATGCATTAACCAAGCACTTGATCAACATTCTCAGTCCTTAACATGGTCCCTTTCTGTTGGCTAAAAGTCAGGAATTTTCTTTAAAATTTTCTCAAGTTATTTGGAGGGAAAAATCTATGACATGATTATAAATATTGATGTAAATATATTGTCTTCGTATCATCCATGTCTAATTTAAAGTAAATTACAATGACATCAAGGGGAAGAGCGCATGCTTCCTCTTGCCTTAGATTTAGAGTTGGTGGAGAAGAGGGGTAGGCTGGGGGCTCCTGAAAGGACTAGATTGGGATTAAACTTTTCCTGGACTGAATCTAACCACTGAACCATCGCCCCTCTCCCTTTCCCTCAGTCAGGTTTCCATTCTTTACAGAATCCTTTGTTACCGTCAGGCCTGGGCTGGAGCTTCTCTTTTCTGGTTTAGTGCCTTGATTCTCACACTGCCAGGCAAAACACACTCCAGGACTTAGGTTTAGGAGGGCACTTTGGCTCTCAATCTCAAAGCCCTAGACTTAGTGGCCATCAAAGAATATATTTTTCCCACCAGGTGGAAAATACAGTGCTCAAAATGGGGTGTGTTCAGCCCCTGAGGGGATCTGGGACCACAGACCCCGAGCTGGTGCGTGGCAGCACATGGTTCTCACAGGACCTGAGGTTAGGCGTCCATCCCCCAACCCCTCTGCAATCGGGATGCCCCTGAGCTGTCAGGTCCAGACCTCAGGCCCACCCATCAGAGCACTTCCACACCCATTCATCACTTATTTTGATCTTTGAAGGCCCCTCGGGCAGATCTTATCATCCTTCCTTTGCAGGCAGAAAGCAGCGTCCCAGAGAGGTGAAATAACTTGCCAAGCTAATAAGGGCAGGGCAGGCCTGTCTGCCGCCCATTGACTCACAGCCCCCGTTCCTGGAAACCACATTTCCAGGGCGGCCTCTCGTCAGCTTTATGGCACTGTCACACCTTAGCTTTGGGACTAAAATGAGGGTCTTGCCACGTTGAGGCAGCTGAAGGATGGAGAAAGCGGAGTTACATGTGTCTTATTGCTCTCTGGCATCCGTGGGTAGCCTGGATGTTTAATAAACATCATCATGGCCTGCTGGCCTGTAAACGTCCCTTTTTGGGGTTAGAAGGGGTTTTGCTAAGGATGTGGGTGACAAAGGGCCTCTCAGTGTGCCTCTGTTTCAGAGCGGCTCTCCGGAAGCTGGCAGCCACATTCCCTATGCCACACAGCTCCTCTGAGGAGCCTCTCCAGTCTCCATGGAAACCGCATGTCGGGAGCCAGCCGGCTCCGTACTGTGGCTTTGTATTAAACACAATGAATTTAAATTGGATGCTCGGCAGTGAAGATAATCATTCTGGATTAGAGAGAAGCCTGGAGCTCCTCATTTCATCATTTTACATGTTGGCACAATTCTCAGTTTTCGCCCTGTAATTCAAGCCCAAGCCGCACTTACCCCTCTGTTTCTAAGCTGCAGTTAGGTCCGATTTCACTTGGGTTTTTCTCCATTCTTTGAGGAATCTTGGAGCTGGGGAGCCCCTCCGTCAGGCCAGGGCTACTCCAGCATTGTGTAAAGGAAATCAGGGGGCTCTAGAGTCTGGCTATGTGATTTTCTCAGGCCCCAGTTTTCTTATCTGTAAAATGAGAGGAGTAACCCCTCCCCTAGAGTTATTTTAAAAAGTATTTATTGTGTAAACATGCAACATAAAATTTACCGTTTTGACTGTTTTTAAGCGTATGGTTCTGTGGCATGAAGTACATTCGCATTGTTGTGCAACCATCACCACTGCCCACCTCCAAAACGTTTTCATCTTCCCCACTGGCTCTCTATTGATGAGGGTGAATGAATAAGAAGTTCCCATTAAACAGTGATTCCCCATTCCTCCCTCCCCTAGTCCCTGGCAATCACCATCTTATTTTCTGTCTCTGAATTTGACTACTCCAGGTCCCTCATATCAATGGAATCATTCTGTATTTGTTGTTTTGTGACTGGATTGTTTCACTTAGCATAAGGTCCTCAAGATTCATTCATGTTGCAGCGGGTGTCAGAATGTCCTTCCTTTTTAAGGCTGAATAATACTCCATTGTATGTAGATAACCACATTTTGCTTCTCCATTCATCTGTCTATGGATACCTAGGTTGCTACCACCTTTTAGCTGCTGTGAATGCTATGAACATGGGTGTACAAATACCTATTTGAGTTCCTGCTTTCCATTACAGAGTCATTTTGAGAATCAAGTAAGATAATAAATATTAACAACATTGCACATAGTAGGCTGTCAGTAAATGTTAATTTCTTTCCTGAAAGTGTGTTAAACCCAGGAGCTAATGCCACAGTGGCCTGATGACTTCAGTGAGAGTGATGTCACTTTTGCTAGCAGGCTGCTTCTGTATCCCTGGGACTCGCTGATCTGCCATGTCTGGGAATTCACCCAATTCATTCCAGGGCTTAAAGGAAATGTCTTCAGCATGGAAATGTGCTTCGTGTCTCACCATAAAAACCATGCATGCTTTTACATTTCTCTCACCAGTGGGTGTTCATGTATTTCTAGTTCCAAAATGTAAAAAAAAAAAAAAAAAAGTGTTAGAGCTGATATATATACTAACTTATCAGTGTTCTATTTTAAGTACACCCTCTGGGAGACCCTGAAGCCAGGGAGGGATCGCCCAGGCTGGGAGGTTCTGTGCCGAGTTACTATTTCAGCAGCAGCATCAGACCGGTTTCCAGTATTACAGAAGAATCTGGGATACGGAGTAAAAATACCTGGATCGCAGCCTTGGCTGGTCTCTCAAAAACTGAGAAGATGACCATGTCTGTTTCACATGGCTGTGAAGATTAGATGGGAGAGTACCTCGCTGCGCTGATGCAGGAGGCAGAAAGGGACCAGGTCTTTGGGCTGGTCTGTACCCTTCCGGTAGATTCTCTCTGTGTCTAGTTTCATCCAAGAGCCTTCTATAAGGGAGCGCCCCCTTGCTGCTTTGAAGCCCTCCAGGGGTGAGAATTGCAGACCTCGGAACCATCTTTCCCTGGGGGGTCCTCTAGTCTTTCCAGGCATTGCTGGGGCAGCCCTGGAGCCAGTGCCCCTTTGTACTTAGGAATTTGTGACAGAAGGGAAGGAGGGGCAGGGGCTTTTGCACAGCCTCCTGACCCATGCATGACCTGGCTGCTCCCTACAGCTTACCAATCAGGCCTGTTCTTTATTGATGAGGCTGAAGGGAGGAGGGGAAGCAGGGATTTCACACAGAATCACAGACCTTTCTCTCACTTCTCAGCAGTGGCTGCTGGCAGTGTGGGGTGCACCTGGGATCTGTCCACCTGTTAAGCAGGAGCCAGGGCAGGCTGAAATCAGGGCTTCCTGAACAGATGTGTTCTTTGTCCCTGGGACAAGAAAGGTCCCTGGGCTACTCACCTACGGGGAGCAGGAACTCAGGACTCCCAGGGAGGGCCTGCATCTTAACCTCTAAGGGGAGCTCACCTCTTCTTGAAGCCAGTGAGCCCAGGAAGTTTCTGTGCCTTGGTAAGAGGCTTTGCTTGGCTTCCATAACCCCATACCCCCGGGCTTCCTCCTACTTCTTTGCAATTCCTTCCCAGTCTCCTTCCTGGTCTTGTCTTAATCTTGATGCTCTCCTATGCTGTGGCCTCTCAGGGTCCTATTCCAGAGTGTCTCTTCCTCTTACCCACCCTCTCCTCCTGTGTAATCTGTTACTGATGACTCCCATTTACAGCTGCAGCCCAGCCACCTCTGTGCACCTCCCTACTGGACATTGTGCCTTGGATGCCCCAAAGCCTAACCTAACACGCTCCGTGTCCTCCATACAACCCCACTCCTCTTCCAGGGATACCTCCTGCAGGGAATGGTACCCCATCCACCCAAGCCAGGCCTACTTACTAAAGACCAGGGGACTCCTCAGGGACACAGCCAGAAACCAAATCCAGGTCTGTCAGGCTCCAGAGTTCAGGCTTCTCCCACCATTGCCCTGCCTCCATGGACCATCGGAGAATTGAACTGCATTTCTAACAAACCGAGTAATGCAAATGTCGCTCTGAGCTCCAAACCAAACTCAGCATGCCCTGGGACCCCTTCCCATTCTGTGGCTGTGCTGGACTTCTGCCTGGACCCCTTTGTCGGCCATCCCTGACCCCTGGGCTCCCAGCCCCTCAGCTCTTCCAGAGTGCTTTCTGTGCCCCAGCTCCTGGTTCAGAGTGGGCCCATTACAACAGCATGGTAACTTCAGCCAAGCCCTGTTACTGCCTCTCTGGTTGACTCTGCGGTGCATTTTCCAAATGGTTTTCCTAAGCCTCACCTTGGCTCAGACCAACACTCCTGATTTCCCCCAAAACCTTCCATCTGGGATTTTGGTTTTATTTCCTGTTCTGCTAAGAAGTCTGGGACAAAGGACCTGTGCTTCCTCAGCTCTCCTCTCAGTCTCCTCTGATCACCTCCATCTTTAGCCACCCCTCTCCTGAATGAATGGGAAGAAGGTCCCTCCAGCCTAATAGATGAGAATATGAGCCCTCAGTTTCCTCATCTGAACAATGAGGATAATAATGGCCCCTATTTGGGGGAGAATTAAACTGGGCACAGGAAGTGTTTGATGATGTTAATTATTAGCAATTTTCATCAACACTTGAATGTCTCTTAATCAGCTCTATCTCCATGTGTCTAAAAATTCCCTTCCCCCTAAATTTGATTTTCTCTCTCCTGATGCCATTTTTTCAGTCACCCAAGCATAAAACCTCCCCCGTTATTTATTTTCACCTCCTCGTCTGTCATCAAAGCTTGCTGCTTCTTCCAAGAAACATGAATCACATATGTCTCTTCCAACCCAGGCTCCAGTCAGGTCCATCATCCCAACACTGCCCTTGAGCTTGTACACTACAGCCAGAGTAATGTTGCAAAGTCCAGTGTTCATGTTCTTCCTCTGCCCAGAGCCTGCTTGTGGCTGCACGTGGCTTACAGCAGAGATCAAGTGCATCCCAGCTCCCCCGACAGCCTCCCATCCTGGGCCAGACATGTCCAGGGATGGCAGTGTGGCCTGACTCCTCTCTGCAAATGTGCTCCTAAACTTCACACTCCCTAAACTCCCTCACTACCACCACCTCCACCCACACAAGTTGACAAACTTTGCCGATGTGATGGAATCAGATTAATCAAAGTCCCCACAGTTTGGTCCTAATCAGACCTGCCTCAGCCCGAACCTCAGCCTGTTCTCTGTCTTCCAACTGTGCCCCCGACTTTGCTACACCATTTCCTACCTTGGAGCATCCTGGCCTGGTCAAGTCATGCCTATCCACCACTCACAGCCTTCCTATCCTAACATGACCTTTCCTTCCACTGGGCTGCTTTTGCACTTGCTGCTCTCCATCCGCATCGAGGAATACTATCTCTTGCTGCCTTGTAGTCTCATAGTATTTTGAAGTCATTTCTGTTAAAACTGAACTTTTCTCCTTTCCTGTTTCCCAGCTGGACTCTAAGCTCCTTAAGATGCTTACATTTCTTCTTCTGGAGCATCTGATACACATAATAGAGGGCACATAGTCTGCGCATTAGTGCTACCTACAAATTATGCTTCTTGTTCCTCATGAATATTTACTGGGCTCCTACTATGTGCAGGCACTGGGCTAGGTGCCTTATATGCTGTATGTCATTTAATTCTCATAGTAACTCCATGAGGGAGGTATTACTATCTCCGTTTTACAAATGGAGAAACGGAGCTCAAGGAGATTAAGTAACTTGCTGAAGATCTTACAACTAATAAGTGACGGAGCTGGAATTTAAACGTAGATCTGCCTGCCTGAATGTCTGATTCTTGTCAGGATACTATAGTGAGAGCAAAGTAAGGTCAGGAAGTGGGACCATGCCCTGGATGATGTGGTAAAGGCTGTAGACCCAGAAGGTAGGAGTGGAAAGTAAAAGGAAGTTTAGGAGTGCAATCAATTAAAAATGTGCTATTTAGGGAAAAACCTGTCAGCTTCAGGATGAGCTCAACAGGCTGCAAATTATCAGTCAAGATAAGGCCTGAGGGCTGTTTGTAGCCAGAGGGACAGAGAGTGGGGCCTCGGAGAACAAATCATGCATCTCTCGGATGCCCTGGAAGAGGCTGTTTTCTTAAGAAGTATTTGACAGAAGGTGCTGGGGTTGGGTGTGGGGTTGGGGGGTGGTGCAAAGAGGATGGAGTGGGGGTCAGCATGCAAGCTGCCTGGAAGGGGATCATCAGAGAAAGGGCCAAGTGGTCAGGTGTCCTCAGCAACCCCCCACCCATGTGAATTAGCTGAGTTGACAATGAAGCCCAGTGTAAGGCCTGATCCCCCTACATCAGGCCAGCGCAGGTGATAAGCTGATGGCTGGACTGGCCACATAATTTGCAGGGCCTAGTGCAAAAGGAAAATATGAGACTCCTTGTTTAAAAATTATTAAGAATTTCCAGATGGTGACAGCAGAACATTAAAACAAGCACGGAATGGCCAGGCTCAGTGACTCACGCCTGTAATCCCAGCACTTTGAAAGGCCGAGGCAGACAGATCACCTGAGGTCAGGAGTTCGAGACCAGCCTGGCCAACATGGTGAAATCCCGTCTTTACTAAAAATACAAAAAATAAGCCAGGCATGATGGCACACGCCTGTAGTTCCAGCTACTTGGGAGGCTGGGGCACGAGAATCTCTTGAACCTGGGAGGCGGAGGTTTCAGTAGCTGAGATCATGCCACTGCACTCCAGCCTGGGTGACAGAGCAAGAGTCTGTCTCAAAAAAAAAAAAAAAAAAAAAAAAAAAGCAAGTGCAGAGCCCTTCTAAATGTAGGGCCTTGTGCAGCTGCATGGGCGACATGCCCATGGAGCTGGGTGGGCCTGGACAGTGGGCTTGTGATTTGAATGGGAAAGGTGTTTCCTGCGTGCCAGGCATGGTTCCAGGTACCATACATGCATCACCTCACTTGATGAAATGCTTGGACCCTTTTTGGGGGTTGTTCACATCCCATGGTGATGTTCAGAGCTTGCTTTCCAGAGGGCCAATAAGTAGCCAACAGAACGCTGAAGGTGAAGGAGGTTACCATGAGCAATAGAGAAACTACCGAGCTGGTTATTTTTTTTTTTTCCTCTGGTACTTCGGGAGGATGTGAATAAAAGATGGAAGATAATTTTAATGTGAAAAGAAAAGGAAGTGGTTCAGCAATCCCAAGAGAGGCAGATCCATCCGAACAAATGATAGCTTTTCCAGCAGCATTAAGAGCTGCAGACATGTTTGCACTGTGCTTACCAGTTTACAGAGCACATCCACTCGTCATTTGATTCTTAGTGCAGTATTGTTCCCTCTATAAAGATTCAGTTGGCCTTAATCTATATACATACCAGTAATAGTAGATCCTGCTTTTCTGATTCCAGTCACCTCCTCAAACATACACCCCTTTTCCATGCATATTTTCGTATGAAGATATGCTCTAGGAAGTCTCTCCCCTTCCTCAATGAAAAATTCCATGAATTGGCTGTAGCCCAAGTGCCTTCTCAATAGCAGAGCGCAAAGTTTGTGCCTTGACCAGGTTCTTGGCCTTGAAGCAAGAGAACCAAATCTTGTGGGCAGGGTTGCTGGGGAGCAATTGCTACAGGAAATTCAGCAAAACATATTGGAGCGGCAGGGCAGTCCTGTAGAAGATGGTAAGAGAGTGAATCTTCAAAGGTCTTTGTCCTGATAAAGCTGGAAGTGACCAACGCATTGTTCTCTCCAATGCCGTGATGTCAGCAAATAAATCTTATCTGAAGGGCCACAAGTATCTGAAATGTCTTTCCAACTTGCTGAGCAGGACCCTGGTCAATATGGAGACCCCCATGAGCCCCACGGTGGTCTGATGAACTTCTGAAGTATAAAGATGGTGTTTATAAAAGGTTTAGACTGAGTTCTAGTACAGGTTCCTGCGCCTTGCCAAGTGTATGCCTGGAAACTGTGTCATAAAATGGATTACCATTAAATATACTGAGTTTTCTTAGGGAACAAATGAGCATCAAATAAATCCAGCTTTACCCAGTAGTATGTTATAAATGTCAAAAACAAAATAATAGCGACACTTTGAAATTGTAAAATGATGTTTCATATTCTTCCAAATAATATACAATGGTGCAGTGTCTGTTGGTTAAACAAATGATCCTAATGTCTCTGTTAATTTAATAGTGAGAGATGTCAGGATAAAAACAAATTTCCACCTATACAATGGGAAATGCTTGGCTGGACAGATTTTTTTAAACATTTATATTTTTAAAAATAAGGGCTTGGGTTGATAAATGGGCACTTTTGGTCAGCCACCAGGCTCAAGGAGGCTGTTGTGAGATCGGCTGTTCCATGATCAGGTCTGGAATAGTTGGAGATGAGGATGTTCTACAAAGCTGCAATTCTGCTTCCTGGCAGTGTCCACCTAGAATGAGGTCTCTGCTCATATGCGTTCAAGAATGCTCAAGCACTGTGTGAAGTTGTAAATGTCCATGAACTTGGAAATGCATTCATACATGGAGGCATGTTTATACAATGAATCAATTAAAAGGAATGAAATAAATCTACATAAATAAATCTTAAAGATAATATTGAGTACATGAAAGCAAGTTGCAAAAGAATATAGACAGTATGATAGATATTATTTGTATAATTTTTTTAATTGTATAAATTTTGTATAAATTTTTAAATGTTATGTGTTTACATAGTAAAAGCATAAAAACATAGATGAGAGGAATGTATGCCATCTTCAGGGAAGAGAGGGATGGGAATAGGATGGAGGGCTTTAGTTGTATCAGAAATATTTCATTTCTTTTTTTTTAAAAAAAAGCATCTGAGGTAAACATGGCAAAAATGTTAACATCTGTTAAGTTTGAGTAGTGGAAATATGGGTATATGTTTTATTATTTTCTGTATTTTACTCTGTTTGAAATATTTCATAACTTTAAAATATTTTAAACACATTAAGAATGGCTAAAATTTTAAATACTGCAGTTTTAACTTCCTCCAAATTTATTCTGAAGTGTACATTATAAAACTCATATATTCTGTTAAATTTTGGAGAAGTAGAAAAAATAAATTCCTCAGAATCTCATCACTCAAAAATAACCATTGTTGGCCAGGCGTGGTGGCTCACGTCGATAACCGCAGCATTTTGGGAGACTGAGGCATGCAGATCACTTGAGGTCAAGAGGTCAAGACCAGTCTGGCCAACATGGTGAAACACCATCTGTACTGAAAATACAAAATTAACCGGGCATTATGGCAGGTGCCTGTAATCTCAGCTACTCAGGAGGCTGAGGCAGGAGAATCACTTGAACTCGGGAGGCGGAGGTTGCAGTGAGCCAAGATTGCACCACTGCACTCCAGCCTGGGCCACAGAGCAAGACTGTGTCTCAAACAAACAAACCATTGTTAATATTTTGGTCTATTTCCTTGCATTTTTATTTCTTGTGTGGGGAGTATGTGTGTTTAAACATGGTTCCAAGCATTTTGAATCAAGTCTTTTTCACTCATTACAGTATAAAACTTTTTCCGTGTTTTGACAGCCTTCGTGAACATCATTTTTTTAAATATAAAGTTTCACATTTAATTTGGTCATGAATTCATAAATACATAAGTATTTTGTACACCATGTGCTTCCTTGTATTGTTTGTATTATAACACATTTTAAATAGGGACCTTTGACAGGGCAGAAGCATGAAAGGACACCAACCACGAGCAACACACTATACTATGGCTGTCCTGTGTCACATGCTATTTGGCCCGGGGATATAGCAAAACCTAACGTAACTAAACAAAAAAAACCCCAATTATTTCATGTTGTCAGGAAGCTTACCTTAAAAGAATAGCTCGGCCTGGCGTGGTGGCTCACGCCTGTAATCCCAGCACTTTGGGAGGTCGAGGTGGATCACCTGAGGTCAGGAGTTCGAGACCAGCCTGACCAACATGGTGAAACCCCGTCTCTAGTGAACATCATTTTTATTGGCTTCCATTAAAGATCTTCTGCAGCGTACTTAACCAACACCATTTTTTGTGTAAAAAGTCATGAGCATTCAGCAATCACATGTTCTTAAACATCATCCTTTTGAAAGCCTCGGGAACACAATTGGGCTGTGCCTTGCTGCCGATTTCTACAAGGCTGTTTTGTGGGGGATGACACTAAAAAGGTCTGTCACATCTGTGATACCACTTTCCTGTGAAAACAGAGCTTGTCAGCATTCATCCTGTGGGTTGGAATGGTACATATTCAAAAAGCCAACTCTATGTATGTCTTGCCTAAGAGGAAACAAGTGCTTGAACATCAGTGTGTGGTGTGGGCTTGCGAGCCTGCAGCTGGGGGAGAGTTTGCTGATCCAGTGAAACTCTTGTTTCGAGGCCTTGGGGTAACAGCGGTAATAATTATTCCAGATACTTATGTGCATGCCCCTCCCAGCTCATAGATGCTCTCACATCCATTGCCACCTGACCCTCTGGGGACCCCTGAGAAGTAAGGTGCAGGTCAGGGGGCACGTGGCTGCTCCTAGATTACAACCAACACGTGGGAAAGTCAAGACCACCTCCTATGCTTCCAACTCCTTCCTGAACTATTTTCAGTTCCTGTCCTTAGACCCAGGCAAAAGGGGCCTCTTCCCAGGGCTCTGGACTTTAGGGTCCTCTTCGGGCCCTCCAACAACTTGTACCCCTGCCCCATAGGTCTGGGGATTGTGTCTACCCAGACCCCACTCACCCATTCCTAAACTACACTCTGGGTCCCTAGAATTCCCTGAGAAACAGCCCTGAGCATTCCAGAGCCTACAAAACCCCGAATCTCTCCTCCTGGGGGACAGACCACCAATGTGTGCATACCAGGCTCAAGGACAGCATTTTTGCAGAAGGTGGACAGAGCTTAGGTCTGCAGGCTGCAGGATCAATTCAGGATAGGCGCGTGTGGGCTGGGGGCAGGCACAGAGGCTGAGGCCAACTATCCCTGAAGTGTAGCTCAGAATTTTAAGGAACTTGAGGATTCTAAGGGCCAGGCCCTTTTGGCCTTTATGAAGATGTATTTGACAGAGTAGGAGGATAGAGTATATTCTGTGTAATGGTTTTTTAGCTTGATCTAACTTTTGAGTGTTTAGAGAATCAGCACATGATCCTCCTTTTCTCCTCTTGCCCTGGGACCCACAGTATGAGGACTGGTCCTGGCTCTTTTATCTCACTGTGCTGTTTCCAGGTTCCTCTTTTCCTATCCAAGCCTGCAGAGGTACTGTGGGAGTGCAAAGGAAAGCAATCTAGAGCCACAGAAAAATGAAACAATTTAGTGTGTAAAGCTCAATATACACCCCCACGTGCACATGTAAAAGCAAGAGATGCATTTCAGGACAAAATAGAGTACAACCACCTGCTGTGAGGATGAATCAGCCTGGCACGATCCAGCAAAATCGGAAATAGAAGCCTGCTAGTAAAGCTACAATCTGCACTGCTCTCCTTCTCCCGGTTCCTCTGCCGCCCCCATCACAGCTCCTGCAGGTGCCACAGAACTACCACCCTCTGTTGGTTGCTTTAAGCTGTGCAAGCAGTCAAACCACTGAGTTCCCCAGGACGACTGGGAACATTCTCGCTGGCCCAGCCTGCGTCATGGAACATCAAGGTTGTGAGAGTTTTCATTTTAATTGCTGTTGGGCCACTGAGCTAATTTTTTTTCAGTCCCTTATTCCCCAGCAATATTTTTCATTTGTGATCAAGGATTTAACTGAATAGAGAAGCATGAAACCATTAAGACAATTTCATGGAGCTCTTTTTCTCCCCTACAGAAAACAGATAAACACCTAAATTCTGGCTGGGTGCAGTGGTTCATGCCTGCAGTCCCAGCACTTTGCGAGGCCAAGGTGGGAGGATCACTTGAGCCCAGGAGTTTGAGGCTGCAGTGTGCTATGATTGCACCACTGTACTCCAGCCTGGGCAACAGAGTGAGACCCAGTCTCAAACAAAAACAAAAACCTAAGTTCTGAGTAACTAAACACACATGTTAGGACAACACTTTTACCACATCTGTTCCATAAGCAATGTTTTACTTAACCTTCACAACTACCCAACAAGGAAGCCACCCTATTGTGTAGGTAAAGACTTTGCATCCAGAGAAGTTAAGTAACCTGGCAGAGGTTATTCCAACCATGAGGGAGCAGAGCAGGGACTTGAACGTGGAGCCGTGAAGCACTGTAAGGACTCAAACCATTTCTCACCAGAAAAAGAGTCACTTTGTCTTAGAGCCCTCACAAAGACTCTCATGTTATGGGACTCTCAATTATTTAATTTAATTAATTTATTTATTTTGAGACAGTTTCACCCTTGTTGCCCAGGCTGGAGTGCAATGCCGCATTCTTGGCTCACTGCGACCTCCACCTCCCAGGTTCAAGCAATTCTCCTGCCTCAGCCTCCCAAGTAGTTGTGATTACAGGCACCCACCATCACACCCAGCTAATTTCTGTATTTTTGTAGAGACGGGGCTTCACCATGTTGGCCAGGCTCATCTTGAACTCTTGACCTCAAGTGATCCACCCACCTCAGCCTCCCAAAGTACTAGGATTACAGGTGTGAGCCACTGCACCCACTCTCACTTATTTTAATTCTATTTTAAGTTTTGTTTGGGAACAACACATTAGCCTGAAATAGCCTTTGATCGATGCTAGTTTTGGAACTTCACAGAAGTCCCCTGATGAAATTCACTTTTAAAAAGTTGAGTGGGGGAATCTCTAATACAGATTTAGTCATTTTTCCTGGGGGTTCACTCTATGATTGCGAGTGAGGCTTTTTAACAATTTCTTTTTAAAGTGGTATCTTGCGGAGTTGTGAATAGGATCCGTTTTCACTGATAAATCACACATGCATCTAAAAAATGCCTGTCTCAAACAAGATAGATGAAAATGAAGCCCCTATGCTTAGAAAAACTGAAGACAAAGACCCTGAGGTTGAAGATGCGTGCAAAATGTTTGAACAAAATTGCTTCATGAAATTTGAGAGCATAAAACAAAACAATATATCCAAATTAACATTTTCTATATCGTGGTTCAAATATACGTGTGTAACTAAGTAAATGATATAAACAGACATTTGATTATGCCATCAATATTATGTTATTATATGATACAACACTATATTATGTTATATATTACATGCAGACATTTGATCATGTTATCTATAGAGTCAATTGGCTAAAAATCGTTTGGGGAGAGAATCTCCTCATTGGGAAGATAGGCCTTAGGTCGGGTGACCCACGATGTGGTTTTTCCAGCGCGCCAAGCTGAAACCCTGGCGGAGGAAGAAGCAGGTTTGGGGACCCGTGGTCATGATGAAGGTCGCGCTGGCTCTCGCACCTCCACATGGCTCTTTACAGTTTCCCAAACCTCGCTGCCCTTGGTCCTCACAGCCTCTTGTGAGGCAGGGCCTGTCTTTGAATGGACCATGAGGACCATGTCTCACCACATCATTGACTCGGGGGCAGGCAGGGCTGTGACGAGACTGCCTTTTCCCGTCTTCCCAGGCAGCACTCGTCGGAGGCACCACCATGATCATCGGCCACGTCCTGCCCGACAAGGAGACCTCCCTTGTGGACGCTTATGAGAAGTGCCGAGGTCTGGCCGACCCCAAGGTCTGCTGTGATTACGCCCTCCACGTGGGGATCACCTGGTGGGCACCCAAGGTAACAGTGCTGGTGGGATCCCAGAAGAAGGCACAAGTGGTCTTGTAGGCAGAGGGGCTGGTTGGGGTGCAGTGCCTCCTGCTTGTGTGGGGCACCCCTCCCACTACCATCCTAGCTCCCCACAATGCCAAAAGAAAACACACTTGGGATTCCATAAGGGGAGCGGATGGGCTTGTGCTGCTTAACTTAATGAGCCATTTTCCGGCAGGCACAGAGAGGCCAAGGCCAGAGCCCAGGCCTTGGGGATGCAGTTTCATTGCTCTGACCATGAGGCTCTTACCGTCTCGTGTGAATGTAGGGCACCACTGACAGGTCATGGGCAGTGCTGCTGAGAAGAGGCCTGAGCAGGGCTCAGGTGCAGAGGGTCATATCCCATATCCTATGTGTACTGAGAGTCCACCACACTGCGCTGAGGTCTCCGAACTGAGGCTCCCATCCTGCCTCAGTACTGTCTGGAATGAAAGGAATGTGGTATGCTTTTTTCCTACTGGGGGCCCAGCTTCTGCTCTGAGAAGCATCGAGGCTGTCCTGGTCTGTGACTGAGGCTGGCACCCCCTGAGCCTTTCTCAGTTCAGCCTCTGTGCCTCCTTTGTGTCTGTGCCCCTGGCCTCTGGCTTTCCTGTCCTCCCCCTGCCCAGGCCCCAGGGTCAGAGTCCAGACTCCTCTCCCCGGATTCCCACTTCCTTGCTCTTCCTAATCTACAGGCATTTCGATTTGGCTTTGTTTCTGGGGTTTTTCTGCTTTTTTGCCCAGGGTAGCAGTCTGGATATTCATTCTTTCATCAATTATTTATTAAGCCCCATGTACCAGTACTTTGGTGGGTGCCCCAGAATCATAAAAATAATAAGCATTATTAGTTTTACCAACTCAGGAACTGCCTCTTCATTTTCCGTCAAAAACCCACTTGTAACTGCTGCTAATCAGAGTGTATATTCAGGGCAGCTTGAATCTGTGCTCCCAGGTGGACATCCTCAAGCTTTGAGCTCGAATAAACTCTGTTCTTAATCATAAAAAGAAAAAAGAAGTTTTATGAAGTTCTTCAGTTGCAGGCCCTGGTATAAAGGGCCTAACACCCTTCTCAGATGATAACCTAAAGCCTCACTATATTTCTGCCCTCGGGTCTTAGCCTTGAGCTGGGGGCTCACCCGGTTTCTTCATTATTTCTGACCTGGCACTTATAGAAGACCTCCTCCCGGTTCTGGGCCAGAGGTGCAGATCACGCTGAATGTCAGCCATTCCTTATCTCAAATGGGGGTCTCCTTTTTGGACACTCTCCTGGGTGAGAGGCCTCTACCTCTGAGCCACTCTCTACTTCCCCTGGAGCTGGCCTAGAATAGAGGGTCTTCTCAGGTTCCCAGCAGCACAGAAGCCAGGCCAACCCTCCCTAATTTCCTGGAGCTTATGGTGACTTTCATGCATCAGGAATTTAAAATTCTGTTTTATAATAATCAAATAAATGTTTCTAATTATAGATGTGAAAAATAGAAAAGAAAGGAAGTACATAATCCAGTAACCCCCAGCACCATCCCTGCTGTTAAACTTCTTTCTTTCCCATCTTTTTTCATCCATGCTTTCACAGAGTAGCTATTTTGCATAGGTGTGAGCATTTTCTATTTTGCCATGAAGTTCATGAACCAGCAATATAATGGCCACTTAATATTCTACCAAGTGGATGAACCTGAACTTATTTTCCTGTTATCAGGCCAATGTTGCTTCCATGTTTTTCCTAGTACAAATAATGTTAGGAATATCCTAACTCTCATAACTTTGTTCATGTTTAGCTTTGTTCCTAAATTTGGTTTTCCCAGGACCTCTGGATTTTTAGCATTAGTATGCCTTCTTTGTAATGCCAGGCAACAGCCCACAGAAATTAAAATCATTATTCCTATGTTTACCATTAAGGCTGGTTTGGAGACAGACATAGGGGACAGGCCTAAGTGATAGGAGAAACGTGCCTATAAGGTAACAATGTGGCTCCTAAACTGTGTCGTGTTGACAATTTTCACAGTACTTCCGCATCCATCTACTCAGGTGGCCTCACAGCAGCCTGTGGGGTGGGAGGAAAGTGAGATAGAGAGGTGTGGGGGGTCAACCGACAGACTGAGCTGGGGCAGGCCCCACATCTCCCCCATGCTGGGCCGGTGCCTGCCAGTCGGCCTCTTGGGTGTCTGCCCTCACGCAGCATTGCCCTTCTACTTGTTCTCCAGGTGAAAGCAGAAATGGAGACACTGGTGAGGGAGAAGGGTGTCAACTCGTTCCAGATGTTCATGACCTACAAGGACCTGTACATGCTTCGAGACAGTGAGCTGTACCAAGTGTTGCACGCTTGCAAGGACATTGGGGCAATCGCCCGCGTCCATGCTGAAAATGGGGAGCTTGTGGCCGAGGCAAGTCTGCAGCCAAGAATATTGGATGGAGGGACACCAGTGGAGACAGTTAGTTCTCAGGGGATTCCTGACCACCCGTCACTGATCCCACAGGATTCAGACAAAATCAGTTGTTAAAGTGTGAGGTGTGGACACCCCAGCTGTCAGATCTTGGTCAGAAAATCCAAACTTTACTACTGTCTGTAAAAAACAAATCTCTTTTTATGGTTCAAAAAGGCTTCTAAGTCGTAGGTGATGATGTCTTAATTCTAATGATATGAGATTTAAATTCCATTATAGCAGAGAATTTGGAGCACCTCTCAGACATATTTTTAATGAGATTTGATATACAGAATAAATAAGAATCCGCTTCCCATTTGGCCTCTTCAGAGGATCTGAGACATTAAAGAGATCTATTCATGGCACCAGGAAGGATAAGCCTCTGGTGCATTCTCCTAGGTCTTGGGGTAAGGGCTAGCCTAGCAGTTGCTGGAAGCTAGAGCTTAGTCTCGATTTCCAGAGAGGGAATTCTGAGTTTGAAATCAGTAAAGAGTGCTTGTCTTTGGTGTCCCAGGCCTGTTGCTAGTTATAATACTTAACTGTATTTTTAAGAGAACAAGATATGTTCAGTCATTATGAAGTGAGAATCAGGAGAGCCCCACTGCATGGGCGGCCTGTGCATGCTCTGCCTTCTTTAGAAGACGAACACTGCAGAAGTGAGAAAAGAAGCAAGCCTATTGAAACAGGCGGTGTCTAGCATATTTCACTGTCCCTTGGGTTCAGTATTTTCTTACACGGTGTCTCTGTGATTCTCTCCATTTTCTTTCTCTTGCTGTTATCCAGGGTGCTAAGGAGGCACTGGATTTGGGGATCACAGGCCCAGAAGGAATCGAGATCAGCCGTCCAGAGGAGGTGAGAAACACTTCCTGTAGCCTTTGTCAGCGTCTCTCATGTAGATTGACAGAATCTTCCAGGATGGAGGAGACATCAAACATACAAATTAGCCAGGCACAAGGGCTCATGTCTGTAATCCCAACATTTGGGAGGCTGAGGTGGGTGGATGGCTTGAACCCAGGAATTTAAGACCAGCCTGGGCAACATGGTGAAACTCCGTCTCTACTAAAAATACAAAAAAAATTAGCTGGGCATAGTGGTGCATGCCTGTAGTCCCAGCTAACTACTTGGGAGGCTGAGGCAGGAGGATCACCTGAGCCCAGGAGGTTGAGGCTGCAGTGAGCCGTGATGATGCCACTGCAATCCAGCCAAGGTGATAGAGTATATATATATATATATACACACACACACATACATATATATACGCACACACACGCACACACATACGTGTGTGCGTGTGTGTGTGTGTGTATAGCATCATTTTCTCCACGGGTGAAATTTCCATTTGATTCTGATTTCAAGGATCTAGGGGAGACAATGTCAGCACACCTGGGGTTGCTGTGCCCAAAACTGAATCAAGAGACAAAAGACAGACTGAAAAGGCCTTCAGGTGTTAGAAGAAATTTCAAACTATAAACTCTGCCTTTGGGGGATGACATTCCTTTGAGCATCTGAGGAATACTTTGGACCAGGGGTCACCAACCCCCAGGTCATGAACCGGTACAGGACCGCAGAGCAGGAGGTGAGCAGCGGGCCAGCTGAGAGCCCCCTGGGCTCCACCTCCTGTCTGATCAGTGGTGGCCTTAGATTCTCATAGAAGTGTGAAGCCTATTGTGAACTGCACATGCGAGGGATCTAGGTTGCACGCTCCTTATGAGAATCTAACTAATGCCTGATGATCTGAGGTGGAACAGTTTCTTTCTTTATTTTATTTTATTTATTTTGAGATGGAGTCTCGCTCTTGTTGCCCAGGCTGTAGTGCAATGGCGCAATCTCGGCTCACTGCAACCTCTGCATCCCGGGTTCAAGCCATTCTCCTGCCTCAGCCTCCCAAGTAGTTGGAATTACAGGCATGCACCGCCACACCCAGCTAATTTTGTATGTTTAGTAGAGACGGGGTTTCACCATGCTGGTCAGGCTGGTTTCGAACTCCTGACCTCAAGTGATCCACCCACCTCAGCCTCCCAAAGTGCTGGGATTACAGGCGTGAGCCACCGTGCCCAGTCCTGAGGTGGAACAGTTTCATCCTGAAACCATCCCTCCCCATTTCCCACCACCACTGCCCCATCCCTGTCCTGGTCTGTGGAAAAATCGTGTTCCACGAAACCGGTCCCTGGTGCCAAAATGGTTGGGGACTGCCGCTTTGGACCCTTTCCACCAAAAACAGGAGACACATACAAGTCTATGCTCCTCCCCCTCATTACCTGCTGAGATGGTCATTCAAAGCTGTTTTCCGCCTGCCCTCTGGCTTTATCCCTGTGCACAGTTTTGCATGGCATTGACACAAATCCCCTACAGTCCCCCTGCTAAAGAATTCTGCTCTAGAGGGACCACATTAGACGAATAACGCATTCCTGCCCTATTACCCTGTTTACACATTCTCTACTGTTTTAGAAGAGGGGGAGAAACTTCTCATTTCTTCAAAGCCTAAAAATGCAGATGGGTGGTTGGTTATCCATGAGGGATTGAGGGGGAGGCCTCGAGGGACAAGGAGCAGGACACAGGATGTGGTGGCACTGCCATTACCCAGAAACCAAGTTGGCCCACGAGTGGGTCCGCTGAGGAGTGCCCCCTCACTGCCCTGATCAGTGCCTGTGTTTCAGAGCCCTTGAATATAGGTCCTGTTTGGCACTTCTGAATTGGTAGAGAAACACACACCAGATTCGACTGAAACACAGAGGGTATGCCTGTGAGAACAGGAGAGAGCAAGGGGTGGACACACACACTAGACTTTCTTTGTTACTTAATACAAGGGAAAGAGCAAGGCTTTGGCTGTGGTCGTAATACCAATAATTATCACCGCCATTATCTATTGGTTAAAGGTGGGAGGGCCCTGGGTCTATGCCAGGGGAGATGTTGCTCCCCAGGGGAAATTTGACAATATCTAGAGATATTTTTGCTTGTCCCAACCTGGGGGGCAGGGCGGATGCTACAGGCATCTAGCGAGCAGAAGCCAGTGATACTGCTAAACATCCCACAATGCGCAGACACCCCCACCATAAAGAATTACGCAACTCGGCTGGGTGCAGTGGCTCACACCTGTAATCCCAGCACTGGGAGGCTGCGGCAGGAGGATTGCTTGAGCCCAGGAGTTTATGACCAGCCTGGGCAATAAAGGGAGACCCCCTCCATCTCTGCAAAAACTTTTTAAAAATTAGCCAAGCATGGGCCGGGCATGGTGGCTCACACCTGTAATCCCAGCACTTTGGGAGGCCAAGGCAGGCAGATCACGAGGTCAGGAGATCGAGACCATCCTGGCTAACATGGTGAAATCCTGTCTCTACTAAAAATACAAAAAATTAGTCGGGCATGGTGGTGGGCGCCTGTAGTCCCAGCTACGCGGGAGGCTGGGGCAGGAGAATGGTGTGAACCCAGGAGGCGGAGCTTGCAGTGAGCCAAGATTGCGCCACTGCACTCCAGCCTGGGCGACAGAGCAAGACTCCGTCTGGGAAAAAAAAAAAAAATTAGCCAAGCATGGTAGCGCATGCCTGTAGTCCCAGCTGCTCAGGAGTCTGAGGTGGGAGGATCGCTTGAGCCCTAGAGGTGGAGGCTGCAGTGGGCCATGATCATGCCACTGCACTCCAGCCTGGGAGACAGAGTGAGACCCTATCTAAAAAAAAAAAAAAAATATATATATATATATATGTGTGTGTGTGTGTGTGTGTGTGTGTGTGTGTGTATATATATATATATATATATATATATGAATTATACAACTCAAATGCCAATAGTACCATGCGCAGAAACCCTAATCTAGGCTAATTTCCGGAGTCAAATCAGCCACTATTTCTCCTTTGCTGCAGTTCTGAGGTGGCTATGGAGAGAATACACCAGAAAACAAGGAGAGACATGACCTTGGGTTTTTATTTACTTTTGTTTCCTTGCCTTTTAATTAAGCCCCAAGTAGCATCCAGCAAGGGCGTGCCTGGTATTGTAAGACCTAGAATTCTCCCTCACTGTGAGCCAAGGTAGTTGGAGGTTAGTGCCTCTGCCCGGGCTTTGCCCCGAGCCAACCCCTATGGGTGCAGTTGCTCCATGAAGGGGAGAGTATGGTGTGGGTATCCTTGGAGGAGATGGTGAAGTTTGGTTTCCTCCTGTCCTTTGTTTCTAACAGCTGGAAGCTGAAGCCACTCATCGTGTTATCACCATTGCAAACAGGGTAAGTCCCCCGATGTCCACTGTGGGATTAGAAACCAACCTTGGCCAGGCACGGTGCTGATGTCTGTAATCCCAGCACTTTGGGAGGCCGAGGTGCGTGGATCACCTGAGGTTAAGAGTTTGAGACCAGCCTGGCCAACATGGTGAAACCCCATTGCTACTAAAAATACAAAAATTAGCTGGGCGTGGTGGCGTGCACCTGTAATCCCAGCTACTCAGGAGGCTGAGGCAGGAGAATTGCTTGAACCCAGGAGGCGGAGGTTGCAGTGAGCCAAGATCGTGCCAACTGCAATCTGTCCTGGGTGACTGAGCGAGACTCTGTCAAAAAAAAAAAAAAAAAAAGAAAGAAAAGAAAAGAAAGAAAGGAAAGAAAGAAAGAAAGAAAGAAAGAAAGAAAGAAAAGAAAAAAGAAAGAGAAAGAAAGAAAAGAAAAAAGAAAGAGAAAGAAAGAAAGAGAAAGAAAGAAAGAAAGAAAGAAAGAAAGAAAGAAAGAAAGAAAGAAAGAAAGAAAGAAAGAAAGAAAGAAAAGAAAGAAAGAAAGAAAGAAAGAAAACCAACCTCTACGATGCAGCCCCATTCTGCTCTGGGTGCCAGCACCATGTCTTGCCCACAGGAACCCAGAGCTGTTTGCTGACTGAGCGCTGTCATGCCCACCATCCTTGCATTCACCCTTCTCACCACCAGCTTTCCATTCCACCCCGCCGAGCCTGCTGAAGCTCAGTTCATTGCTCACGTGTAAACTCAGTCCAGCTCCTAAACTCTACATCCTCCTAATGTGATAAGCAAAGAGAACAGAATAACATCTGGGGAAACAGAATTTCCCAATTGCACTTTAGAGCTCTGGCCGCTGGACAAGGACATTGTTTCACTGTCATGACAATAGTTATTTATCAATTACTTCCTGGTGGAACTTAACCCAGAATAAGGAAAGACCCAAACAACAAAAAGTCAGTTCCTTGCCTTTTAGCTCAAGCATATGCTCAGAGGAGTTAAGCCATGGACCGTGGTTGCACAGCTTAGTAGAGAAAAAGCTAACCAGTATTACAGTCCAGGTGTCCGTTCGCAAGGTCAGCCTTCTCTTGCCTAGACTCTGAACCCTAACCCCCTTGTATTTTGTTCATCTCCAGGGTGCATTCTGTCTACTGATAAGCAGCCTTCAGACAGCAGGCATCGTAATTTTAGATACAGAATACACGACTAACTCTAGGTCATCACGTTTATGAACAGGAAATTAAAATAGGAAAAAGAGTTCCCCCCTTTTAAATTACAGTCATGGTTGTCAGATGGGAGAAAATGCGAGGTTCAGACTTGACGGTCTTGAACTTCACAGGCTGGGCTTCCCGGTGGGCTCTGGTGCTGGAGGCTGTTCTCTGCCTCCCCGTATCATGCAGTTCCTGCAACCTTGCCCTGACTGCCAGCCCTGCATTCTCCGCTTAAGGACTGTCACCTTGAGGGTGGGGTTGAGTGACGCAGGGGGAGGCGCTGGTGCCAGGGCTGACTTTGCCAGGGTTATTCTGATGCTTGTGAAGTTTATGGGTCAACCCTCCCTACTTCCCACTGTTTCTTGTGTTTAGACTCACTGTCCAATCTACCTGGTCAACGTGTCCAGTATCTCGGCTGGTGACGTTATCGCAGCTGCTAAGATGCAAGGTGAGTCCATAGACTTGGCTGGACAGAGCAGGTCAAGTGGAGGGACTGGAGATGGATGGGGCCCATTAGCCGTGCTCACTCCTGGCCCCGGCTCCTGAAACCAGGACCTGAGCCAGCCCTTCCCTTTCATCTGCCACCGTCTTCCTCAGAGCTGCCCTGTGCTATGCTGGCTTTAGTCTGCTAGAACATGAGCTTTTTCTTCTGCAAATTTGTATGCATAACAGCTTTACGGAAGTGTCTGTCACTTCTCCTGGGTCTGGTAACATTTTCCAAGTTTTAAACCCACTCATTAATTAGTGTCTTTTTGGCCTCATAGATTTTACTAGCAGTTGCCTTGGCAACTAACATAAAATGCTGGACCAGTTTCAGTGGGCATTTCAGGGGCTGTTTGGGAAGTCCCTAAAGAAAGAACAGTGTGTGGGCCCAGCTTCCTTTTAGCCTCCTGGAACCCTGTGTATGAGTCCGAGGGGCACTTGTATGGCTTCTGTTGCGGATCGCCTGGCAGTACCTAAAGGCTTGCAGATGCTTGGAGTCCAGCCCCGCCCCAGGTGCTGGTGAGGGCCTGGCAGCAGGAGAAACAAAGTCACAGTCACAAGCCTGGGGAGACAGATCAGAAGCAAGGGCATCTCAGCCTTCAACTATAATCGATCAGAAGCAAGGGCATCCTGGCCTTCAACTCTATCGCCCTCTAGATCCCGCCACCTGCCTCTCCCCTCACTGAAGCCCCTTGGAGGGTCTCGCCTAGACTGTCGTCCCAGCCTGGTGACTGCTCCCACCTCCTGTCTCCCTGTCCTCCAGCCCTGCTACGGCCCTCCCTGTCCTACCACAACCGTTCTCTTGAAGCTGCTCACAGCAACTGCCTGTCCAGAAAACAGTCTAGACTGCTCTTTAGCGTGGCATTCGTGGCCCTGCATGCCTGTTCACCCACCGTCAAGCTCCATCTGCCAACAGCACCCTGCACACACCAGTGCTCTGGTCATCTGGCCAAACCAGACTCCTCAAAGTGCCGCTTGGTCCTGCTGGGCCTCGGTGCCCATGTCCCTCTGTCCTCCTTGCCTAAGTCAGCAGAATAGGGAGGCTCTCTGGGCTTGAACCCAGCTGTGCTCTTAAAAGCCCTGTGAGCTTGGGCAGGTCCCTTCCTGTCTCTGACCTCAGCTCCTTCACCTGTAAAATGAGAGGCACACACCAGCGATCGCTCAGGTTCGGTGGCTTCCTGGTTATGGTTCTGACCTTTCTTCTTCCAGGGAAGGTTGTGCTGGCGGAGACCACCACTGCACATGCCACGCTGACAGGCTTACACTACTACCACCAGGACTGGTCCCACGCGGCTGCCTATGTCACGGTGCCTCCCCTGAGACTGGACACCAACACCTCAACCTACCTCATGAGCCTGCTGGCCAAGTAAGGCGTTTCAGCAGCACATTGCAGGGATGTGTACATCTTTAGGAAGACGTCATAGAGGGCCCAGGAAACAAATCTGAGCTAGGTTTGATTTCATTGTGCCCATAGGATCATTGTGCTTTTCTTACCTTCTCTGAGCCCATCAGATAATTGCCATCCTATTGGGATTTTATGACCGCTTGATATGGAGTGAGATCTTCTGAAGTATAAGAGTGAAGAGCACATATAGAACTGTGAACCGTGGTTATTCGGAATTTCAAAGGACATTGATCTCTTACTCTAAAGCCCAGTGGGGAGCTGCAGAACGTGGCCTGTGACTTATCCTAGAATGTAGGGGTCCTTTCTGTTTCTTTTGTTCACCTCTCCCTCTTCTTGTTGGCTCCCGTGTGCCCCTTGTCTGTACATCCCTCCTTCTGTGGGTTTCTCCTCCTTTCCTTCCCCTTTCCCTTTTTCTTCTGCACTTTCTCCCCCTTTCCTTCCCACACCCTTCCTCCAGATCTCCTTTCTCCAGCTCTTCTATTTCTGACACTGCTTTTTCCCCATGCAATCCCAATCTAAAGGAAATGGTTTGATGAACGGTCTGAATTCAGTGGGACCCAATTATGGAAGGGTTTCTGTTTTATCCCAATAACTGCTTGCAGCTTCTTTCTCTCTCCTATTAACATTTTTGGGGCCAGGTGCAGTGGTTCACACCTGTAATCCCAGCCCTTTGGGAGGCCGAGGTGGGTGGATCACTTGAGATCAGGAGTTCAAGACCAGCCTGGCCAACGTGGTAAAACCCTGTCTCTACTGAAAATACAAAAAATTAGCCGGGCATGGTGGTGTGTGCCTGTAATCCCAGCTACTTGGGAGGCTGAGGCAGGAGAATCACTTGAACCCAGGAGGCAGAGGTTGCAGTGAGCTAGGATCATGCCACTGCACTCCAGCCTGTCCGGCGACAGAGCAAGACTCCATCTCAAAAAAAAAAAAAAAAAAATTGGGGGAGAAGACGATGCTTTCTCTTCACTTTTGGGTATTAAAGTTCCATCCAGTTTAAGACTTCATCTCCTTCCCTCCTGATCCCCAGCTCAGCTTGGGTTGGGGTAGGAGGACTAGGACAAAAGGCGAGGGGATTCTTCTCCATACCCAAGCATGCATCCCTCCCAGCTTGCAGCACTGGCAATGCCTCTGTGAACAAGGACCTGCACAAGGCAACTTATGCCTGGCCACCTTCTACAGTATCTGAGGCCCAGAGGAAGCCCACACAGCCTTTCTGCTCCCTGTGGCTCAGAGGCAGGTCCATAGCCCACAGTCCAGGCAAGGTGCCCACTGCTCTCAGCTCTGTTCTCCACAAGTGAACCTCTTGAAGTATGCCCTCCTTGTCTTCAGGGTGGACTGGTGAGGAGAGGGTATGGAAGCCCCACTCAACTCAGGAAAGAGGAGGGGAGGGAATGCCAGGACTCTCCATCCTGCCAACCCCTCAGTCTCCCTCCGAGGGTCCCGCTTTCTAGACCTGGGGGATGGGGATTCGCCTCTTCTAAGATGGTGCAGGAGCAGTGGAGGGAAGCGACTGGCCCCACCGAAGATGGCTGTCTTAGATAATAAGGTGCTTGTCTCATCCATGTCCTTAGCTTTCAGTTCTGGTTGCCAACCACTGGAAAACTCCCACTCCCATCCCGTTATGTTCACAACCTAAACAGAGTTGGGGGGTGCAGGGCTTAGCCAATGCGAGTGGAGTGCCATCGATAGGGGCGTGGGCGAAGGTGGCCTCTGTGGAGGGCAGTACGCACCACGGCATGGGGATGGTCATTGTATTCTGTCCCATAGCCTTGGTGGGTGCCAGGCGGCAGCAGCTCTTACAATATTTACATATTTACATTATGTAAATAAATATGGAGGGTAAAGATTAAGAGAGAAATGCTAGATCAGCTCTTACTCTTAAAAAATGCTTGTTTTGGCTGGGCATGGTGGCTCGCACCTGTAATCCCAGCACTTTGGGAGGCGGAGTCAGGCAGATTACCTGAGGTCAGGAGTTCAGCCTGGCCAACATGGTAAAATCCTGTCTCTACTAAAAATACAAAAATTAGCTGGGCATGGTGGCTCGTGCCTGTAATCCCAGCTACTCCAGAGGCTGAGGCAGGAGAATCGCTTGAACCCAGGAGGCGGAGGTTGCAGTGAGCTGAGATCGCACAACTGCACTCCAGCGTGGGCAACAAGAGCAAGACTTCATTTAAAAAAAAAAAAAAAAGCTTGTTTTGAGAAGAATCAACCTCCTTTTCATCATCAGCAATACAATAAAAGAAACAATTACCAAGACTCCACTATAATAATGTGGGCTTGGTTCCAAGGTCAAGAATCTTTTGAAACACCCCTGCTTGCTACAAGCAAATTTACTGAAAGAACAAAAAAGATAATAAGTGCTTCAACCCACCCAAATTACAGCGCCCAAACCCACACAAATTCAAATAGACTGGAATAAGTATCATTGAATAATTTAAGTTTTTATATCTAGCTTACTTTGTCAAATGTATTTTAATTATTTAAATTAATTCTATTTATTTAAGTAGAAATGTACTTTTTGTGTTATGATAATAGTCTGAATCCCTTTTTAATCCCTTTTTAATCAGTGCATATTGTAAATGGGTGCTACTTTATAGGATTTGGAGCATAATTTTAATATTTTAATATTTATAGAAATTTATGATGACTATAATTTTGCTTTTGTAACACATTATTGGTTATAATTTATATGATGCAAGATACTTGATAGAAAATTCAGACACCAATTATTATTCCTATAAGAAAATATGAGCTGTTTCCTAATTATCTACTTTAGGGTATGATTTGTGATTTGTTAGGCCCTGCAGGAATAAAAAAGTACAATCTATAGATATAACTATTTATGCTTTATTCTGGCTTGTTTTTTTTTTTCAGACAGGGTCTGGCTCTGTCACTCAGGCTGGAATGCAGTGGTACAACCTCCTGAGTAGCTGGGGCTACACGTGTGCACCACCATGCCTGGCTAGTTTTTTGTTTGTTTGTTTGTTTGTTTGTTTGTTTGTTTGTTGAGCCAGGGTCTCACTCTGTCTCCCAGGCTGGAGTGCAGCCTCCCAAAGTGCTGGGGTTACAGGCGTGAGCCACCCTGCACCACCGTGCCCAGCCTAATTTTTGTATTTTTTGTATTTTTTCATCATGTTGCCCATGCTGGCCTCAAACTCCTGACCTCAACTGATCCACCCGCCTCGGCCTCCCAAAATGCTGGGATTACAGATGTGAGCCACTGCACCTGGCCTAAAATCTGGTTTCTTAAAGGGACAAGAAATTTTTTCATTTGATCATATAAAATGTTACAGTGCTTAGCAAAGCCAGTCATGTTTTAAACTTTAAATGGTTTGGATGGGGGCTTCCTACCTCCCAGATTCAGGGCAGCACTGAGAGAGCTCAGAGGGCCTCCTAGAATGTAACTACCGTCATTCACAGCTGCTTAGTGGGTACCTTTGTGTAGGAGCCTTTTCAGAAAGCTGGGTGCTCAGGAAGACTTGCTGGTTAAAGAGCAGGAGTTGAGCCTGTTGCTCTCAGGGTCCCTGACCTGCCCTTCATGACTGCAGTGGGCATCTTCTGCCCTGAGCCCTGCTCAGGTATCCAGAGGGCCCCTCAGGAGAAAGGAAACCCTAAAGATTCCATTCATCTATCAGGGCTTCTGCAGGTCCAGAGAGTGTGGGGAGCCTTGGGGCTCTGCGGGAGAATCTCTTGCAAAGAGTCTCTGCAAGGGCCAGAGCAGCCTCTTTGGCCCAGAGAAGGCCCAGCCTACCGCACAGGAAGAGCGATGCATCTTCACCACGGGTTTGGCCAAAGACATTAGTCACTGGGCAGGAGCTGAGACTGATAAGCCCTGCCAGGTCCCCCGTGGAGACAGCCCTATGGAGCTAACTGGCCATCATCTGAGAGCCTTAAGAATATGCTTCCTCACCAGGTCAGATAATGCTTTCTGCCCCCACAGTCTCCTGGAGTGGGCATCTTAGATGGCCCACAGGCACTCACAAGGCTCTGGGGCCTCTTACAGAGTACAATGGGACCCCTGCCCCTGACCTTCAGGGCACCCACAGTGTGGTCCCAGCAGTCATCCCCTCCCCCACCTGACTCCCCTGCTCCAGCCAGGCCTTTCTCTGGCCCCGCAAAGCCATTTCCTCTTGAGGCCCTGACCTGGTTTGCGTGGGCATTCTCTCTCCTCCGCCCCTCACTGCCTCTGAGCCCTTGGCCTGCAGAGATCTCTGAATCCAGGCCACCTGCCTGCCTCCCTCATTGGGCAGAGGATCTGCTGCCATGAGCCCTCTCTCCCTGTTCTTCCCTACGTCTTCTTTGGCCCAGGAGCCCCTCGAGGGCCTGCCTGTGCCTTAGCCACCCACAGCCTTGGATGGAGGATGGCTTTTTTTTCATCTTTTCAGACAGAGTCTCCCTCTGTTCCCCAGGCTGGAGTGCATTGGGGCTATCTTGGCTCACTGCAGCCTCCGCCTCCTGGATTCAAGCAATTCTCTCACCTCGGCCTCCAGAGTAGCTGGGATTACAGGCGCCCACCACTACGCTCAGATAATTTTTTTCTATTTTTAGTAGAGACAGGGTTTCACCATGTTGCCAAGGCTGATCTCGAACTCCTGGCCTCCAGTGATGCACCTGCCTCGGCCTCCCAAAGTGCTGGGATTACAGGCATGAGCACCTGGCCCGAGGACAGCCTTAATATATGTGTGAGGACCGTAGTCATGAACGGCATTGGGGAAGAACTGAGTGGCTTGCATACCACTCTCGGTCTATTAAGTCAGGCTTCTAGCTCATCCCTCCTTCCCCTTCTGGGCCATTAGAATCCCCACATCCAAGGAAGGCTATGAGTCCAAGTTATTCAACAAAGCTTAACACTGAACTTGTGAATGCTTGTTGCCAGCAGGTTGGGGTTGGAGAGCTGATGAGAGGGAATTGGTATACAATTCCATGAGAGTAGAACTACCTCCACCATCTCACTTCAGCTAGACTCTAAGTTCGGCTTTTCTCTGCTATCTTCACTCTTAAACATTGCTATCCCAAGGCTCTCACTGAAGTCTCCTGTGACACAGACAGACTGTGCCACACTCATTCTGTAGATGAGTAAACTGAGGTTCACATAGATGCAGTAACTCACGACAGACCACATGGCCTAAGCGGCAGAGCTGAAATTGGAGTCGGCTTTGCCTGCTTCCCACACGGAGGATTTTCCCTATATCTATCCTCACCCTCTAAGTTCCTCACCTCCCCTCCCCTTACTGGTCACCTCCTTTTCTCTACCCAGTGACACTCTGAACATCGTGGCATCAGATCACCGGCCTTTCACCACAAAGCAGAAAGCTATGGGCAAGGAAGACTTCACCAAGATCCCACATGGAGTGAGTGGCGTGCAGGACCGCATGAGCGTCATCTGGGAGAGAGGAGTGGTATGTTTCCTAGAGCCCCGCCCCGATCTGATCCCTGCTCTAATCCCCGTTTCATCCCCGTTCTAATCCCAATAAGAGTATTCACTCCTCAGATCCTGTCAAAGAATGTTCTTAGAAGGGCTGGTTCAATCCCAGCTGTTTGTTTCACTCAAAAACAAAACACAAAAGGTCTTTCCCCCAATTAGAAAGGTAGTAAGACCTATTATGGAAATTTGGAAAATACAGAAAAGTATAAGAAAAAAAGAAACCTTAATTCCACGCCTAGAAATTAAACTACTATTAACATTTTAATATATTTCTTTCATTTAGTTCTGTGCATGTACTGTACTTTTTTTTTTTTTTTTCCTTTTTTACTATGTTGTCCAGACAGGTCTTGAACTCATGGGCTCAAGCTATCCTTCCACCTCTGCCTCCTTAAGTGCTGCGATTATAGGTGTGAGCCACCACACCCAGCTATACATTATTTTAATAACTGGCTTCATATTTTTTTCTTTTACCAACTGCTATACTAACCAGGATTTTTTTTCTTCATATAACACTATACCCTGAGTGTCTCCCTATATCAGTAAAAATTCTTTAAAAACATCTTTTTTCAGAGCTGAATGATATTTTCTCCAATGAAAGTACCATACTTTATTTAATCCTTCCCTGATGTTTGGGACTTTCGGCTGTTTCTAATTTTTGCACTTACAAATAATGCTGAGGAGAACCTCTTTGTTCAGGAGTGTGTGTCAGCATTTCTGATTATTATTATTATTATTATTATTTATTTTTTTTTGTGTGTGATAGAATCTCCCTCTGTTGCCCGGGCTGGAGTACAATGGCGCTGTCTCGGCTCACTGCAACCTCCGCCTCCCGGGTTCAAGCGGTTCTCCTGCCTCAGCCTCCCGAGTAGCTGGGACTACAGGCGTGCGCCACTATGCCCAGCTAATTTTTGTATTTTTTATAGAGGCGGGTTTTCACCATGTTGGTTGGTCAGATGGTCTCGATCTCTTGACCTCGTGATCCGCCCGTCTTGGCCTCCCAAAGTGCTGGGATTACAGGCATGAGCCACTGCACCCGGCCTCTGATTATTATTTCTGATTATTTCCTTAAGACAGCATCCTAGAAGTGGATTTTTAGGCCAAGGGATGTGAACATTTTTAAGGCTCTTGATTTGATATATTTTGTCTAATTGCTTTCAGAAAAGATAAGAACTGGGACTTCATTTGAATACCACCTGTTCCGCACATGAAGAATAAGTATTTTTGGTCTTGATCTATCTCAGATTAGATCTAAAATAGTATGAGCCCCAAAGAGATTTGAAGTTCTCAAGACTAAGCTCATGGAAGGCCAAGGAGATGGCTCAGGAAATCCCCTTGAAGAGAGTCCATAGTACTCTCATGGGTGGGGCAATAAGATGTTTTTCTAGAGCATATATAACCCTTTGAAAATATCACCCTTAGTAGATGAAGGGAGGTTCCTGACTCATCCGTGTGGGCACATGAGCAGAGCTGGTTTTACAAACAGGAGGCAGATTTGCCCCCGGGCAGGAAGCCTGAATGGAACCACGGCCACTCACCATAGTTGCTGGGTGAAGGGAGAAAGGAATAAGTGAGCAACTGGGACCCAGCCAAGCAGGCTGGCTCATCTGAGATGGTGCTCATGGCCTTGTCCCTTTGTGACCACTGTCCTGACCACCTAAGCCCTAAGTCCATGGGCCAGCATCAAAGGTGACCAAGGGTTTGAGACCCACCCCCAGAGCCTGGTTGACTTGACACTTTCTGCAACATTTCAGGTTGGAGGAAAGATGGATGAGAACCGTTTTGTGGCCGTTACCAGTTCCAACGCAGCTAAGCTTCTGAACCTGTATCCCCGCAAGGGCCGCATTATTCCCGGAGCCGATGCTGATGTGGTGGTGTGGGACCCAGAAGCCACAAAGTAAAGTTTGTTGCTCGTCCCCAGGGCTAGAGGGGCTTGGGATTTTGAAGAAGACTTGCATTACAGATCTCCAAAAGCATATAATTTTGCACTATTTCTAGCACAAAATATGGCCCTGGCCTACCGTTGGCCATCTTCTCCCTCCATCTTCACACAGTCTTTCTTCCGTGTCACACATGTCTGGTGTGTCTGTCTCCTCTTCTTATAAGGACACCGATAAGACTGGATTAGGGCCCACCTATATGACCTCACTTTATCTTAATGATTACATTAAAGGCCCTAAATAGTGCCATGTTCTGAGGTTCTGGGTGTTAGAACTTCAGCAGAAGAATTTTGAAGGGAGCCAATTCAACCCATAACAACCAGCCTTTGGGGCTCACCCCTCCCATGGAGCTGTGACATTTTGACCTGTCCTCAGCGCTTTCTCTCCCGCCATTGCCTCCCCACCAGGACCATCTCAGCCAGCACGCAGGTCCAGGGAGGAGACTTCAACCTGTATGAGAACATGCGCTGCCACGGCGTGCCACTGGTCACCATCAGCCGGGGGCGCGTCGTGTATGAGAACGGCGTCTTCATGTGCGCCGAGGGCACCGGCAAGTTCTGTCCCCTGAGGTCCTTCCCAGACACTGTCTACAAGAAGCTGGTCCAGAGAGAGAAGGTGAGGTGGGAGGAGGAAGATGCAGGGGTGTTGGCGCCCCCTGCCGGGGAACATCCTCCATGACTGTTTTAAATCTCAAAGAGATGTTCACTCCAGTTTTCGACCCAATTCCATTGCACTTTCTCCAGCGTTGAGAGGGGAGTGTGCGGCAGCGCCAGGGAACGCTAGAGTCAGAAAATGCTGATTTCTGTTCCCCGTCTTTGATTACCAAGTGGCATTTTAAGTGGTCAGGCAGCAGGGCTCCTGAGTTGCTGAGGGCACAAGTGGGAAATGTGAGTGTGTGCGACCGCTGAGCTCCTCTGGATACGCAGGCTTGGGGTGGAGGAGGTGCTGGGGGCTGGAGATGCTGCTTTGGCTCGGCTCCCTCCCACTCTTGATGAAGCAAGCGGGGGGTAGAGCTGGCATTTGCAAAGCATTGTCTGAAGCACAGGAGGAGCAGGCACCTGAACACGGGAGGCCCACACTGCTGGCACACAGAGCACACGAGAGGGCTCAGAGCTTTCAGAGAAACCAAGGACCCTTCTCTCCCAGAGGCCAATGAGTGAAGAAATCCACTGCCAGGTCTGCCGTGGGAGCGCAGGCTTGGGCTGCCTGAATGAAGAAAGCGTGACTTTCGTGATCGCAGGGCTAAATCCAAAAGCAAACTCAGGGTCTCTTACTCATCACACTCAGCTAATGTTTACTTTTTTGTGGAGATGGACGGGGTTTAACCGTGTTGCTCGGGTTGCTTTCAAATTCCTGGGCTCAAGTGATCCGTCTGCCTCGGCCTCCTAAAGTGCTGGGATTACAGGCGTGAGCCACTGTGCGCGGCCCAATAACACTTTTTAATACGATGTAGGACCATAAATGACCTCTGCAGTAATAACTGCTCGTACTTCTGTGTTGCCTCTCATGTGCCAGAGCAGTTGGAACAGCTTTACACATATTAATTCGTCTGCTCTCCTGCAACTCTCTGATGTAGGTATAGTATTATGGGCACAGAAAAGTAACTTGCACAAAGCCACACAGTTTACAAGTGACAGAGTTGGGATTGGAACCTAGGCAGTCTGGTTGTAGAATATAGACTCCTAACTCTACTGCCTTTGTGAGTACAGAATTAGCTAGTATTGCTACTGGGGGCCTCTCATCTCCAGATGGGGCTGTGTTTAGCCTCTGTTCCCTCAGAGTTGTCAGACCAGTAAAGGGTGTGGCTTCGTGGGAGCCTAAGGTGGGGAATAACGTTGCGCTGTGTGGGAGGGCGCTCTCTAAAATTGACTTCCGGTTGGGCATGGTGGCTCACGCCTGTAATCCCGGAACTTTGGGAGGCCGAGGCGGGTGGATCACGAGGTCAGGAGTTCAAGACCAGCTGGCCAAGATGGTGAAACCCCGTCTCTATTAAAAATACAAAAATTAGTCAGGCACGGTGGCAGGCGCCTGTAATCCTAGCTACTTGGGAGGCTGAGGCAGGAGAATCACTTTGCGGGGGCGGAGGTTGCAGTGAGCCAAGATCGCACCACTGCACTCCAGCATGGGCGACAGAGTGAGACTCTGTCTCAAAAAAAAGAAAAGAAAAATTTGGTTAAAGTTGACTTCCTCAGATGTCTACCTGCTACCTCGGTGAGGCTTCCATCAGTGTTGAGGGGGAGCCAGTATCTCTCCCATACACATGCATGCACACACACATGTGCACTCACATACATGCACGCATGCACACATGTACACATATGCACATGCTCTTTAGGAGGTATGAGAAAACTCCAGCCCCTGGACTCAATGTTTAAGAAGCCTTGGTCACTTGCAGTGATTTGGGTCTTGGGCAGAGTGGCAGTGTCTAATGTCCCACCGGCCCCCAGGGAGGCCATGGTTGTATCACTCAGCTCTGATGGTGTTGTCCTGTTCTTCTGCTCTTCTTCCATCCTTCCCTAGACTTTAAAGGTTAGAGGAGTGGACCGCACTCCCTACCTGGGGGATGTCGCTGTTGTCGTGCACCCTGGGAAAAAAGAGATGGGAACCCCACTCGCAGACACTCCTACCCGGCCCGTCACCCGGCATGGGGGCATGAGGGACCTTCACGAATCCAGCTTCAGCCTCTCTGGTAAGAGTCAGGGGGCCACGGGAGGAGGATGGGGGTCTGGGAGAAGTGGCCCACCTAGGCAGTGGGACTTACGCCTGCTTTTCTTTTGTGTCCTCTCCTCCCTCCCGTTGCCTATTTCCAGGGATGAGTGCTGGTTTGGATATTAGACTCACATAGACATTAGTGGGGACAGGAGGGCTGTCCTGGTCCCTGGGCACAGACGCTCTAATAGGCCATGGCCCACCTGGGGCTCTGCTCGGGGTTTCTAAGTTCAGATATTTTTGTCCCTTGAAACATCTTGAGGGCTGTGCACACAGTGGGTGCTCCAGAGATGCCCTGAGCTCAGAAGAGTCAGCCCTGTCTGTGGTTCACGGGACTGCACCGACCAGCCCTTCGCCCACCCCAGCCCACTCCTCACCAGCCTCTCTACTCCTTCTGCTACCCCCTCTCCTCCTCTGACCTTCCCACACCTTTCCCCGCCTTTGCCTCACCTTCACCTTCTTTTTTTTTTTTTTACCAGGAATTGTATTGTATATATTTTATTAACTTTAAGTAAAATATTTTCTCTCGACTTCTGATGCCCAGTTTTTTCTCTTATCTTTCTGTCCTTTGGGTCCTGGCCCCAGTCCTTCTGTGGAATCTCTGGGTTCCTTGGGGGGTGCGATCCCAGTTCTTAAAGCCACGATCTGCAGTTTCCCGCCCCCCCGTCCCCCCCCGCACCCATCACCATGCGAGCCACGGGCTCATAAATGATGATCCTCAGTGGAGAACAAGCAGAGGCTGTAAGATGCCTCGGGCCTCCAGGTGGCTTAGGTGGGAACTGTCACCACCACTTGCAGGGGGCTAGGACCCTGAGTCTCCCTGAGCACAGTTGAGCTGCCTTCAGGATAAGCCCAGAGAGAGACCAAGCACCCACTCAGTAAGGGCTGTGCTGGGATGGGTACGGCGAGAGGCGCAAGACCCTGGTCCTTCCACCCACAGCCTGGAGTTTACTGGGGGAGACAAGCCCCATACACAAACCATCCTGCTGTGAGAACAGAGGGCTAAACCAGAGGGATGCCAATGGGTCAGCGCCTGCCTGCCCAGGCTCCTGTGTGCCCTGCTTTGGGCCAGGCGCAGCTTGTGGCAGAAGAGATGAGGTCCCTGTTGGAGGTGCTGGTAGCCCATGGGGAGGGGTCCTCTCTCAGGACCAGTCTCATTCCTGAGATGATGGCTCCGCTACTCTGAGGGCCACTGCCACTCCCACCAGTGACGGGCCATGAGTGAAGTCAGAAAGGGACCCTGGCATGGAAGACTTGTTTATGCACACTCAGGTCTTGCCAGTCCCGGAGGCATGGACTCCCACCGCCTTCCTCCTGCAGCCAGACCCACGAGAGGCACCAAGACCCCAGAGCTGCAGGGCCCCTGCTGACCAGCAGCCTCCTCTTCTCCTGCCTGAGAGCCAAGACTGGGCAGAACCCCCGCTCAGACAGCAAACATCAGGCAGCCTGTCCCCTCCTCTCTACCCCAAATCTTGTCTGTTCTAAGCAGGCCAGGCTGAAGAATGTCCCACTGGGCTCTCCGGGGCACTAGACCCTCCCTTTCCCTCCCTTTGTGTTTTGTTTGTTTTTGTTTTTTTTTTTCAATCCTTCTCCTGTATAGACCCTCCCTTTGTAACTAAGTCATGGGATTTCAAGATGCGGGGCCTTTGGGCTGTGGTTCTTTCATTTTCCGAAACAATGGCATACCCTCATTTTTCTCTCTCGCTTACTCACTGAGGCATATGTACAAAGGCCCATGTGCCAACAGGCTGGCCAATGACCTGCATGTACGAGAGACTGTATGCCTAGGCATGGGGCAGTGAAGTTGGCACAGTGGGCAGTTAATAATGTCGGCTCTGAATCAGGAAAACCTGGGTCCAAGTCCAGGCTCTGCCACTTACACACTGCAACATGGGGCAAGTCACTTAACTTCCCTGAGCCTCTGTCTCCTCATCTATAAGATGGGATGGAGTGGCTGTGAGGATTCACTCAGGCCATGCACACAGTGAGCCTCCAGGAGAGGGTGTCTGTGGTTTGTTAGCAGGCACAAGAGCCCGTCTCACCCTCTGTGCTTCCTTCCCTGCAGGCTCTCAGATCGATGACCATGTTCCAAAGCGAGCTTCAGCTCGGATCCTCGCTCCTCCCGGAGGCAGGTCGAGTGGCATTTGGTAAAGGCATTGCCAAGCCCCCCGAGTGAGGACGCACCGCCGCCACCAGCCCGCAACTCTCCAGCCGAAGCTGCAGGGGCAGGAGAGGCTGGGCTGGGTGGCACACCACCCGAGGGGGGCCCCGGGACCCACGGAGCCCTCCCTATGTCTGCAAAGTGATTCACTGTGCTTCGAGCCAACTCTAACAGGCACTTTGAGATGTGTTCCTCCTGCTGTAGTCCTTTCTGCCTTGGCCTCGGCGGGCTTTTCTGGGGCCCAGGAAGCCCACACTATGCACAGAGCCCAATGCATAGAGCCCTGGCCAGCCCTTCCTCTCACTCCTGCCTCCGCTGGCTTTGGGAAAGCCCAGACTTTAGTGCCCTGCCCCCTGGCTGACTGGCCAGTTGCCCAGAGCACTTTAGCAGATGTGGTTTCAAAGTAAAGGCCTCCTCCCCCACCCCTTAGGCCCCGTGGTGACATTTCCCAAGTCAGACAGATGTCAGCTTCCCAGCCATGCCCAGGACGTCCTATCTCCCCCAACCCACCTCTGGCCCTGTGTAGGGGCAGGGATGGGGGTGGCTGGGACTCCTGGTGCCCCTCGCCAGCTTCTCCTGCGCCCCGCCCACACCCTCGGGGGGTCACAGGCCCAGAAGGGTAGCTGGGCGGGGCTCGAGGCTGGTGCCAGGCGCGTGTAAATGGTTTTGTTTTGCACGTTTGGTTTGCGCAGTAGTTTGGTTTGACTTGTTTGTGCATCCTGTGAAAAATAACGGTGCTTGTGTCACTAGCATAGAATAGCGACAGGAATAGATGTGGTCCTTAGGAGACGCTGCACTTGACACCAACCAGACAGCACAGGGCAGGGGTGGTGGAGGGGGCTGGGCTCACAGGCCTCTCTTTTCCCCGCCTGCAGTCTTCTGGGCTGCGGGAGGCCCTGGCCCTTTCCCCTTCCCCTCCCCTCCTTGTCTAGTTTCCCACATTCCAAAAGGGGGCCTGGGATGCTAGCCCCAGAGATGCCAGCCCTTCAGGAAGCAGGTGTCCTTTCCCCTCTCTGCCCCTGATCACTCCCAGCACTCCCCTTGCCTTCCCCTGTCTTCACCTGCCACCACACACACACACACACACACACACACACACACACACGCACGGCTTCCTATAACTTCTTCCTGCTGGACAGAGACTCAGCGCTCCTCCTGTGTGACTGGCAAGAGGCCTCATGCCTGCTGAGAGAGGAGGAGTGGGAGAGGGGCTTGCCAGACACCAGAGAGGGAGACCCCAGGCCCACAGGACCTGGCTGTCGAACCCGCATTGCTGCTCAGGTGCCGTGATCTCCCGTGGTCGGCACCAGGCCCTTGCCAGCTCATGGCCTCATCTTCTCCCCTGTCCATCCAGGTGGGCCCTCCCTGCTTCTAAAGCCCCACAGAAGTTCCCATGGAAACACTAGAGGCCGGGTGTCTCCTTCCACCTCCAGTGATCTGGGAAGTGACCCAGCCGCCTGCCCTTGTTAAGCCTGGTCTGCCCCGTGGGAAGTGACTTCATGTTGCACATGTGATTTCAGCCCCCGAGGCTTGCGCGAGGCTTCTGGACCCTCGGTTAAAGGTCAGCCCCTGGCCGGGTGCGGTGGCTCACGCCTGTAATCCCAGCACTTTGGGAGGCCAAGGCGGGTGGATCATGGAGTCAGGAGATCGAGACCATCCTGGCTAACACGGTGAAACCCCGTCTCTACTAAAAATACAAAAATTACCCAGGCGTGGTGGCGGGCGCCTGTAGTCCCAGCTACTGAGGAGGCTGAGGCAGGAGAATAGCGTGAACCCGGGAGGCGGAGCTTGCAGTGAGCCAAGATCACGCCACTGCACTTCAGCCTGGACGACAGAGTGAGACTCCATCTCAAAAAACAGACAAACAAAAAAGTCAGCCCCTGCACATCTCTGTAGTGCTTTTCATGTATTCAAACCACTTCCGTATATGACCTCTCACTTAGTCCTCATGACAATGGAGCACTTATTATTCTTCCCATTTTACAGATGAGGAAACTAAGACCCAGAAAGTTCAGGTCCTCTGACCCCAGAAGTGTCTGTGATGACCCTCCCAACCTTGGCTATCTACCCCACCTGTGGAGAGGAGGTCTGGGGTGACATCTATTGTAGATCCCACCTGAGAGTTTAACCAATGAGAAGACTTACTTTCCTGGTAGGCAGCCTGCTTTGTTTTGCACAGGAAGATAGATTTTTTTTCTCATCTTTCTTATAAACAACCTCATGCACATTCTGTGTTTGAGCCAAGACTAGTCACCCATTGGGGGCTAACCGTGCAGTGTGAGCTGCGTCCACACCCTCACTTCTCCCTTCACTCCCCCTTTCCTCACTCAGGGGCTGAGAGGACAGAGGTGGTCAGCCGGGGAGCAGAGGTGGCGAAGGGGCTCATGGCAAGTGGCAGCCATTGGAACAGGGGTGAGGACCCAGGCCTGGGAAAGCCACCAGGGATGGGGGAAACCATGACGCCGCCTCCTGGTGCAGTGCACACCATCTCTATCCCTGTCAGCCCTCACTGGGTCATGGGCCTTGGGCAGATGTCAAAGAGCCCAGCAGCAGCGGTGGTGGCCAGCTGGGCAGAGCATCCTTGCTTGGGCTAGGAAAGCTTTACCTTCTCTGAGTGCCTCCGCCTGAGAGATGTGTGACCCGTGGCACCAGGGAACCACGTCTTGGAGTGGTCCACTGTAGGCCATGCGCTTCATCCACCCCCAGTCCCTACATAGGCCCTACCCTTGCCCGGGAGCTTCTAGATAGAAATCAGAAAGAGATTCAAGGAGCCAAATGAGCGGTCAGCCCCCACCATGCACTCCTTGCCCCGTGCAGAGCTCCAGCCAGCTTCGTCACCAGCCCCACTGGCTCCTGGTTGGAACGAAAGGGTCTCTGGTTGCACTGAATGCAGCTCTCAAACTGGTCTTGTACTTGCTGAATAAATACTGTTGTTCTTGCCTTAGCTGCTCTCTAGGTTTGTGGGGTTAAGTTGCCAGAAAATTGTGCTACTGTGTGTGCGTGTGCGTGCGTGTGTGTAGTGCTAGGAGTCCACAGTAGGTCTCTGTCAAGCCGATGTCGTGATGAGGGCTTTTCTGATACTGACCCAGAAGCCACAGAACCACAAGGAAACCCAAACCCCCTCCAGCTGCTGAGGCGCAGGCACAGCCTGGGGTCGGATGGAGCCTCCAGCACCCCAGCACCCAGGTGACTTCCCCACTCCCCTGTAAATGTCATGGTGCTAAGACTGTGTCAACCCCAAGACGACACATGGTCCTGTGCTTTGGCCACCGTTTGAGGCAAAAACTAAACAGCCCGACACGTTGTGTTCTGGTGCAGGTTTGTATTAAACTGTAGCTACTTCTCACTTGGACTCTGTTGTGTTTCTTCAAAGAGGAGGGAGTTTGGCAGAGATCTCTTCTACGGTGGCTGGGCAAGGCTTCAGTTGCTAAGAAAAGGCAGCTTTGATCTGTCTCTCCTATTGGGTGGCAGCTCACTGGGAGGCTTGTGCAGAGACTGGATTTTTTTTTTTTTTTAATTCTGAGAGACAGGAGCCCCAGTGGTGCCAGATTTCCAGGGACAAGGTTGCCAAATTATCTGAAATAATTAGGAGGAAGAATTAGATGCAAAAGGGAAAAAAACTAGACTCACTCCATCTACCTATAGTCGCGTATTCTCTTGGCTACCATTTTGGAAGCCCATAGCCACCTCTCCACTCGGCAGAACGTTTGGCTGATGGAACGATGGCCTCATAAAAAAAAAAAATCACAAGACAAAGCGCTGTCCCAAGGCCAATATGCCTTTGAAGGACCTTCCAGCTGCTCTCCGGCTGTCTAGAACCCCGCTTTTGGAGTTGGCCCTCTGTAGTCTCAACCCCATCCATTGCATTGAGACCCCTCTACCTTCCCTCTAGAGCTCAGTCAGATGTTAGGAGGATTATCTGATTAAACTCTTTCACACTAAAGGGTAAAACTGTGGCTTCTAAGGCCGGGTGCTGTGGCTCATGCCTGTGATCCCAGCACTTTGGGAGGCCGAAGCGGGTGGATCACCTAAGGTCAGGAGTTTCAGACCAGCCTGACCAACATGGAGAAACCCCGTCTCTACTAAAAAAAATACAAAATTAGCCAGGTGTGGTGGTGCATGCCTGTAATCCCAGGTACTCAGGAGGCTGAGGCAGGAGAATCGCTTGAACCCGGGAGGCGGAGGTTGCAGTGAGCCAAGATCGCGCCATTACACTCCAGCCTGGGCAACAAGAGTGAAGCTCTGTCTCAAAAAAAATAAAAATAAAAATAAACTGTGGCTTCTAGTACTATGTGGTCACTGTACTTATTTCTTAACATTAAAATTCGAAGGTTGAGATGGATTTGCCAGCTTGAGATGGATGCCGAGTCCCTGCAATGTATTGGGCCAAAGTGTCTGTTACCCTGTTTTCCCACAACAGGAGAGCACACCAGAATTGGGTTAACTGCCAAAAATCCATTGGGTTTGGATGAAAAAAATAATATGACCACACATTTGGCACAAGGCGTCTATCAGGCAGTCTACAGGGAAAAAATAAAAGATACCCAGGAAGACATAGGGTGCCTTTTTATGTATGTAGTTGTAGAAAAATCAAAGACCACAGACTCAGACTTTAAAATAAGGCTTGATCATTTATGAGAATCCGGATTTGGAGAAACCACACCAGTCAGCAGCTAGGCAGCCACCAGCCTCTATTTTCTAACTCAGAATTACAGACTGACCTCTGTACACCGGTAGAGACTAACGCTAAGAATTGCATTGTGGTCGGCCAGTCACAGTGGCTCACGCCTGTAATCCTAGCACTTTGGGAGGCCAAGGCGGGAGGATTGCCTGAGCTCAGGAGTTCAAGACCAGCCTGCGCAACACAGTGAAACCCAGTCTCTATTAAAATACAAAAAATTAGCCGAGCGTGGCGGTGGGATCACACCACTGCACTCCAGCCTGGGCGACAAAGCGAGACTGTCTCAAAAAAAAAAAAAAAATTGCTTTTTAGTCAGTGGAAGACACAGGGTCTCATGACACCCAGGTGTGAAGAAGAAACCTCATGATATGTAGGGGCTGGTAGACCTTAGAGTCCTAAGTTAATAACAGGCTATTTGACAGTGTTGTAACAACAGACATTTGAAAGGGCTCTTAGAGCTTTCCCAGTAGAACAGTAAAGGATCTGGCATTTTGCTGACACTGGGTACTGTCTTATGATGGAAAGTGAGTTCTTTACTTTCCCTTCTGGATTTACAACCATACATTTAGAACTAGAGGGACCAGATGTCTTGGTTTGCTCAGGGCAATCCTGGTTTAAGTCTATTGCCCCAGAATAATTATTAACAGTGTCCACTTTCACTGTCAAACATGTCCTGGTTTGTATAATAAATTACATGGTCACTTTCTGTATACCTATACATTCATTGGGCTATTACTGTGCCTGTCCAGGAGTTAAAAATTTTTCCATTGCTGAAAGACAAGACATGGCATTGTAAGAGATGCGGAAGATGGGTCCTTCCACAGTGGGTGGTGACTTAGGGGTTTGCATGACAAGCCCAGCGTCTTCACACAGCTCTTGGAGGCTTGATGAGTCTCAGTAGCCGGGGATGCCACAGGGTGGGGAAGGCCTGCAAATGCTTTTCTAAGCTTTTTCAGTTTGCCTCGTAGACCTCATTGTTCCATTAGAAGCTGTAACCCTACCAAATTCTATCATTTGCTTTTAAGGTGACTTTGATTCCATTTATGAACTTGAACACCTTACAACATTTTCAACTACATTTAAAATTTGATTTCCCTTTTAAATACCTTTCCTAAGTACCAAATAATTATTACCAATCTAATAAATTAAACTTATAAATATACTGAGTTTCACACTTTATTAGTTGTTTTGATGCTAAGAATAAACAATATTTCAACCTAAAATTAGAAGTTTTAAGTTACACTTTTTTTTTTTTTTTTTTTTTTTTTTTTGAGACAGAGTCTTGCTCTGTCTGTCATCCAGGCTGGAGTGCAGTGGAGGATCTCGGCTCACTGCAACCTCCGCCTCCTGGGTTCAAGCAATTCTCCTGCCTCAACCTCCCAAGTAGCTGGGATTACAGGCACCTACCACCACGCCCAGCTAGTTTTTGTATTTTCAGTTGAGATGAGGTTTCACCATGTTGTCCAGGCTGGTCTTGAACTCCTGACCGCGTGATCTGCCCGCCTCAGCCTCCCAAAGTGCTGGGATTACAGGTGTGCACCACTGCGCTTGGCCAAGTTACACATTTTAAGTTAATTATGAGATGCTCACTTTAATAGCCCAAAAAGTTCTCATAGAAATAAATAAAATACCAAATATGCCCAGATTTCCAATTAATACAAAAATTTTGACACTATGGGCTTGGTTCTTTAAAAACTTTTATTTTCTTAATTCTATACCTCCTGCCAGTTATAAGCTCTCACTGGGCTTTAGCTTTGAGTCTTTTCTTTTTTATTTTATTTATTTATTTTTTGAGACAGAGTCTTGCTCTGTCACCCAGACTGGAGTGCAGTGATGCAATTACAGCTCACTGTGGCCTCGACCTCCAGGCTCAGGTAATCCTACCACCTCAGCCTCTAGAGTACCTGGGATCACAGGTGTGCACCACTGCACCTGGCTAATTTTTGTATTTTTTGTAGAGACTGGGTTTCCCTATGTTGCCCAGGCTGGTCTCAAACTCCTGGGCTCAGGCTATCCACCAGTCTCCCAAAGTGCTAGGATTACAGGTGTGACCCACCACGCCTGGCCTCAAGTCTTTTCTTGATGACAAGTCAACTCCTAGAGGGTGCAAGGAAGGTCTGCTTACCAGCTCCACTCCAATCTCAAATTTCCAGTGCACCTAATTTTCACTTTACCACTACCTGGTCATCTACAATAACTGAATGCACAGTTATTAGTGCAATGTGTGTATATATCACTTCTAGCCCAGTGAGTTCTGCCTCCTTTAAAAATGTTTAAATAAATTAGATCCTTTGTATTTTAAGGTTTCCTTACATTTAAAGCAACACATTCTATCCCTGTGTAGCTTTTTTTAAATTGACTATTTTTTAGAAAAGTCTGATTTACAGCTGCACAGATAGTGCGGAGTTTCCATCTACTCCACACCCGGCCTCCCCTATTACTAACATCCTACATTAGCATGTTAAAATCAGTGAGCCAACACTGATACATTATCATTAATTAAAGTCCATGCCTATTCAGATTTCCTAAGTTTTTATCGAATGTCCCTTTTCTGATCCAGGATCTCCTCCAGGACACCACATTACATTTAGTTGTCATGTCTCCTGAGGCTCTGTGGACTGTGACAGTTTCTCAGACTTCCCTTGTTTTTGATGACCTTGACAAGTTTTGAGAAATATTGTTCAGAGATTTTATAGAATACTCTCTACTGGAATTTGTCTGTTGTTTTTCTAAATGGTTAGGCTGGTGTTAAGAGTTTTTAAAAGGAAGACCATAAAAGCAAGGTGCCGTTTTCCTCACGTCGCATCAAGGGTATATACTATGAAAATGACCTATTACTGATGATGTTGACTTTGATCACCTGGCTAAAGTCGGATCTACCTTTTCAAATTTATATGGTTCCCTTTTATGAGCTAAAAGCTTCTCTTTTTACAGTATGTGACTTCTTTAAGCAACTAAATATGGTTTGTATTGCTATACTAAGTTTTTCCGGTGTTTGCTAGATGATTCTCGCAGTTAGGAATTTTTTGAAATTCAGTATCAGTTGTAAGACTTTTGGCCAGACGTGGTGGCTCACACCTGTAATCCCAGCACTTTGGGAGGCCAAGGTGGGCAGATCACTTGAGGTCAGGAGTTGAAGACCAGCCTGGCTAACATGGTGAAACCCTGTCTCCACTAAAAATACAAAAAAATTATCTGGGTATGGTGGTGCAAACCTGTAATCCCAGCTACCTGGGAGGCTGAGGTGGGAGGATCGCTTGAACCCAGGAGGAAGAGGCTGCAATGAGCGGAGATTGCGCCACTGCACTCCAGCCTGGGTAACAGAGTGAGACTCCGCCTAAAAAAAAAGAAAAAAAAAAAGACTATTTGCCTGTGGGGCACAAAGACACAAAGATAGCAGTAACAAGAAATATTCACATAAATACGAGCTCTTGAGGTTTTATCTGAAATCCTCTTGACTCATGGGTCAAAATTTAAGCTTTAATTTAGGGATTTACACACACACACACACACACACACGCATTTACATGCAGACACACAGAGAGGCTCAGTTTAACTACATAACCAACTTTGTGAAGCCTTTGAATAACAAGTGTCCATTACCTTAAAGCTATTTAAGTCCAAACTTCCAAAATCCAATCTGAAATTCTAGGAAAAGAAAAACAGAGACTAACCAGGTAAAATTAATAAGCAACTGTTAAGAAAGTATAATTTATTATTTTAATGCTATCCAGAAAGCTGTTGAAGCTTTCTATTGATTTACATAACTTCAGATTATGTGAGTTTTATTGAACAAATTGATAAAGCACACATTTTTCCAACTGTGATGCATTTCAGTAGCAATATCCTATACTGCTATCAAAATCCCACATTTGACATCACATTTACAAAAAGCTTTAGCTATTAGCTTTAGTGCAGAAACTCAAATTTTTTTTCCTTTTGGAATATTTCTAGCCATGAAACTCAAATTCTCATTGAAATCATTTATGCAATATCCAAAATTCCTGATTTCACATTCTGCATTAATTTATCACCTCGAGGGGGAAAAAAGATCGCTTCACACTGAAAACAGTTGCTTACAATTATGCATATTTAAATTTCATCATCTGCTCAGTGCCTCTTGCTTTATTGGAATTTTTTTTCTTTTGGATACAGGGTCTGCCACTGTTACCCAGGCTGGAGTGCAGTGGTGCAATCACCTCTCACTGCAGCCCCGACCTTCTGGGCTCAGTCGATCCTCCCGCCTCAGCTTCCAGAGTAGCTGGGACCACAGGCATGCACCATCACTCCCAGCTAATTTTTCAATTTTATAGTAGAGACAGGGTCTCCCTATGTTGCCCAAGCTGGTCTAGAACTCCCATGCTCAAGCGATCCTCCCGCCTTGGCCTCCCAAAGTGTTGGGATTACAGGCGTGAGCCACTATGCCTCATTTTACTGGAATTCTTGATTTTAAAATATCCTCTGGGCCGGGCGCAGTGGCTCATGCCTGTAATCTCAGCACTTTGGGAGGCTGAGACGGGCGGATCACGAGGTCAGGAGTTCCAGACCAGCCTGGCCAACATAGTGAAACCCCGTCTCTACTAAAAATACAAAAATTAGCCAGCCGTGGTGGCACACGCCTGTAGTCCCAGCTACTCAGGAGGCTGAGGTGGGAGAATCGATGGAACCCAGGAGGCGGAGGTTGCAGTGAGCTGAGACCATGCCATTGCACTCCAGCCTAGTGACAGAGTGAACACCGTCTCAAAAAAAAAATCCTCTGAAGTTTTACAGTCTAAGTTTACCCTGAAGAGAGTTATTGTCTTTTGATCAGTCCCCAATGATGCCAAGTTTCAAGACACTGCAGGGGTTAATTTCAGTAAAATAGACTGCCCCCGGGGATAGACTTTGATTCCTTTACTGCTGAGGAATCAGAGCTGCTGGAGAACAACTTCTCTTGGGGAGGACGGTGGGCATTTTGAGTCCTAAAGGGAAGGAAACTTCAGTGGCAGTGCTTTGACGGCCCCTTCCCATCTTGCACGCATCTGACAGAAGGGTTCCTGGCGTGCACAGAAGAGGAAAGCTGGAGGCTCCATCACTGGTATTTTAGGACTAGCCACCACATGTGGGAGTTGCTGAGGCTTCTTCAAACTTCAATTTTCCAGCAGCCAGGCTTTCTTTCTTTCTTTCTTTCTTTTTTTTTTTTTTTGACGGAGTCTCTCTCTGTCGCCCAGGCTGGAGTGCAGCGGCATGATCTCCGCTCACCGCAACCTCCGCCTCCTGGGTTCAAGCAATTCTCCTGCCTCAGCCTCCCGAGTAGCTGGGACTACAGGCATGTGCCACCTCGCCCGGCTAATTTTTAGTAGAGACGGGGTTTCCCCATGTTAGCCAGGATGGTCTCAAACTCCTGACCTCAAGCAATCCACCTGTCTCGGCCTCCCAAAGTACTGGGATTACAGGCATGAGCCACCACCCCCAGCCAATACATGTCTTTTACCACAATAAAAGAATTATATTATAAAAATTGACCATTTACTAAACCACAAAGCAGGTTTCAAAAAATTCCAAAGTATTAATATTTCACAGACTTTGTTCTCTGCTCGCATTGCAATGAAATTAGACATAAACCACAACATCAAGAAACCATTAAGGAAAAATACAAGTAAATTGTGACGTGTTTATACAAAATAGAAATATTTTCATACAAAACATAAAATGTGTGGTATCTAGCTAATGTCATTTAGAGTTAAACTTAGAGCTTTATGCACTTTTCAAACAAAACAAATGTAAAATCAATGAGTAGATTAATGGTTATATGTGGCAAATTAACACACCTATTTCTCTATATTCCCTCTCAAATCCTCACCAAAGTGACATTTAAAAAGAAGGGTTAAGCCACATGGGAAAAGATAATGGGAAATGAGATTATGGCTTATGAGGGATATCAACAAAATTTGGAAGGTATAAAATAAATGGATGAGCGGGTGCAGCGTGGAGGAAGCTGAAATGACTGCCTGCCATGAAGGCAACCAATGAGAAGCCATTTAGCTCCCCAGAGCCCAATAAAGAATCCCCAGTAGCAGCTCCTGGGATCTCCAAAGGCCAGAGAGTGAAATCAGGATGACGGGCTAAAATTCTCTGAGAGGAGCAGTTAGACCCATAGATCCTCCAGCTCCTGCAAGCAACTGTCCCACTCTCTTTCAGGCTGCCAAGGGGAGAGGATGAATTTAGGTGGATTTAGAGAAGGACAGAACACTGAACAGTGACATCAGCCTATTCCCAGCCTCCTTCCCATGCCGTCTACCATAACCAATACAGAGAACTGTATTTCCCCAGGCAAGAAATCTGAGGATCCCTCTCTAGGCAAGCTAACTGGCATGAAGAGAAAATACTTACATTCTGATATTTGAGGGATCCGGTAGTAATTTGGCCAGTTCCCATGCAATCCTTCTATGGTGAGACACCTCAACCCACATGCCCCACGCATGAGTTTCAATCTTTCAGTTAGCCGGTTTGCGTCTTACTCTTAAAGATGAAGAAAACCTCCAAAAAGATAGACAGTCCAGCCAGCCAGGCGCAATGACTCAGGCCTGTAATCCCAGCACTTTGGGAGGCTGAGGTGGGTGGATTTTGTGAGTCCAGGAGTTTGAGACCAGCCTGGGCAACATGGAAAAACACTGTCTCCATAAATAAATAAATAAAATATTTAAAATTACCCAAGTGTGGTGGCATGTGCCTATAGTCCAAGCTACTCAGGAGGCTAAGGTGGGAGATCACCTAAGCCTGGGAGACGGAGGTTGCAGTGAGCCAAGATCATATCACTGCACTCTGGGCAACAGAGTGAGACTCTGTCTCAAAAAAAAAAAAAAAAAAAAAAAAAACAACCCAAAACAAACATAAGAACAAAGTATCTCAGAGGAAACACGACTCAAGGAGTAAATGAAAATTCTAAAGATAAAGAGAATAGATTCATTAAAAGACAAAAGGAAAACAGGAAAGACAAGAAAATTAGATGATCAGTCTAACAGGAATTCCAGAAATAAGAGCACAGAAAAAACAAAGCAAGGGAGTTTATCAAAGAAATAATAAAAGAAAATTTCCCAAACTAAAAAATATGCATTTCCAGATTGAAGAGACATCATCATGAAATTTCTGAACAACAGAGATGATGCTTCAAGAGCCAGCAAGAGACAAAAATACTAGCTGCATACAAGAATTGGAAATTGAATGTCACTCAATTTGTCAACAGAAATACTAGAAGATGGAAGATCATGGAGCAGATTTTCTAAATTCTGAGAAAAATAATTTCTAACCTAGGATTCTGTACCCAGCCAAACTTTCAACCAACTGTTAAGGTATTATAGAAGAAAGTCATTTTCAGACATGCAAGATTGAAAAGATTGACCTTCCTTGGAACCTATTAGAGAGTCCATTTGAGAGTGTGCTCCACCAAAATGAATAATAAAAAGACATGGGCCAGGCACGGTGGCTCACGCCTATAATCCCAACACTTTGGGAGGCCGAGGCAGGTGGGTCACTTGAGGTCAGGAGTTCAAGACCAGCCTGGCCAACATGGTAAAACCCCGTCTCTACTAAAAATACAAAACTTAGCTGGAAGTGGTGGCATGTGCCTGTAGTCCCAGCTACTTGGGAGGCTGAGGCACGAGGATCGCTTGAGCCTGGGAGGCAGAGGCTGCAGTGAGCTGAGATCCTGCCACTCACTCCAGCCTGGGTGACACAGAGCGAGACCCTGTCTCAAAAAAAAAAAAAAAACAAGACATGGGATGAAGGAAATAGGACATTCAGCATAAGCAAGAAAATAAGGAAGTTCCAGAATGGTGGTAGAGGAAGTTGTTCTCTAAGCTGCTGCACAGCTGGTCCAGAATGGAACAGTCCTGAGAAAATCCTGCCCAGCAGGCTAGAATAGCCACCTGCCCTCAGTATTTGCCTGTTTGTAACAAAAAGCTATAAATGCTCAGCTGAAAGAGGTTCTTGGGAATGGCAGAACAACCAAAAGTTTGCCCTGGCTCTTGATAAAGAGCTGAAGAAGAAAAGATTTGCAAGAAGAATGAAATCATGGCTTTTCTGAGTTTGCAGATTTCTTGCACACATCTAATTAAACCTCTGCAGAAATTTCTACCACATCCCTAACCAATCATCTAACTCAGGACGCAGGATGTTTAGCCCAGTGACGGCGTGCCTTCAGCAGGCATATATCACACTCCCCGCAAGTTCTATTTATTCAGTATCATTTCCTTAACTGAAACTAAATTATCTATCTTCAGCTTGTGCCCCTTTATCCTAACTCTTCCTATGAAGGCACACAGAACAATCTTATTCATAAACAGCTCTTCCAATTTCACACATTATTGCAGTCTTTACTTCTGCCCACTACATTCATGCTTTCAGGGTTGTTCTCAGAGTTTAGCATGAATCAGAATCACCTGGAGGACTTGTTTAAGCCCAGCTTGCTAAGCGCCACACCAAAGTTTCTGATTCAGTAGTTTTGATGTGGGGCCTAAGAACTTGCTTTTTTTTTTTTTGAGATGGAATCTCATTCTGTCCCCCAGGCTGGAGTGCAGTGGCACAATCTGGGCTCACTGCAACCTTCGACTCCTGGCTTCAAGCGATTCTCCTGCCTCAACCTCCTGAGTAGCTGGGATTACAGGCACCTACCACTGTGCCCAGCTAATTTTTGTGTTTTTAGTAGAGACGAGATTTCACCGTGTTGGCCAGGCTGGTCTCGAACACATGGCTTCAAGTGATCCGCCCACCTCAGCCTCCCAAAGTGCTGGGATTACGGGTGTGAGCCACCGCTCCCGGCCACCATCCTTATCTTAAAATGTGGCACCAACCCTCCAGAATGGAGTTTTCTGACTGAAGGTGCCCAGAGAGAGTGCTCACCCATGCAGAGGAAAGGACCAAAGGGGCTTTGCAGAAGCAAAGACAATGCCCCGCTAGCTCTTGATAACCTGAGCAGCTGATGAACTCAGCATGTGCCCAGGAGTCCCCTCAGGACTTCCGGAGAGCAGCTGGGGCACCTTCCCTCCGTAGCGCGTTACATCCAGGACAGTCAAGAATCCCAGCCAGCCTGTTAGGTGACCGACGCAGGCCCTCGCTGAGCAGCAAGCAGAACTGCTGCCCTTGCCTGGGTTCTCCAAGAGCCTGGGATCCTCCCCGGCCCTCAGACAGCCTCTTCCCCCACAGAGCAAGGCGTTTCGGGGGCTGTGAGGTGAGTTTCCTGAGAGTGAGTGAAAGGAGCGACTTTGGGGATTAACTGTCTTGGACACATCTTCCCTCCAGACGTCTACTTCCCAACCTCTCAATCTTTTTTGCCTCCCTTCCACACTCATTGTTGCGTCCCTTAAATTTATTTCATCGTTTTGTTTTTCTGGATTACCTGCCACAGCCTTTCTGTTCATCTCTCCACAGTCAGACCCGGGATCTGAACCCTGAGCTGACAGAGATGCTGAGAATCTGGCCTTCTGCTGCTCCGAAAGGATTGGGGATGTGGCAGGCCATGCCCGCTTGGGAGGTCAGTTCACCAGGAGCGACTGTCCTCAGTGCCTGTGCCCCCAGACTGAGGAAGAAGGAGATGCTAAGGGTAGCCTTTCATATCACATACAAAGAGCCTGGGAAGATGAGATGGAGGTGAGGAGGAGAGGCATTCAATCCAGAGGGAAAAGGGAAGTAATGCTTATTAAACGCCTACTGTATGCTAAGTACTTTGCTATACACGTATGTGTTACTGATTTAAGGTTGGAGTGGGGCTGAAATTCCCTGTAACTATTGGCCCATGGGATTAAAGACTGTTCTGTCTTGGAAGATAATCATGACTGATGAGCCTCTGAGGACGGAGGGTGAAGATTTTTAAAACTACCCTCAAGCATGAGCCCTAATACCCTCAGCCAACCCAGGTTATGGTGCTTCTCCTAAGGCCATGAATTCCAGCCTGGGGAAGAGCTGGGAACAGCTGGAGAGGCAGAGGATTCCAGGAACGTGAAGCCCTAGCCAGTAACCTCCTGTGGAGAGTGACTTCACCCCCAGGCGGCCAGAGCAGCAGCTGCTGAAAACCGAAAATGCCAGGAAGATCCATCTTCCCCTGCCCCTGGCCACCTCCAGGCTGGCTTCCTCTTCTGCGTGGTCTCTGTCTGGTTTGGCATTTCTCTGCTCCCCAAGTCCTGGATCTTGTGGGATGGCCCGTGGCCACTGTACTACCTGTAAAGGCCTCCAGATGGCGCTTTCAGCTCATCAGTGGTCGCTGCTTTGGCTTACGATGTGAACAGATAAAGCTGAAGGAATGGCAGGTGTGTCCAGGTTACCAGGCCCCAATCCCTGCCCCCAGAGCAGCTCAGGCTCCTCTGCCTCGAGTGCGAGTGAGTGGCCATAGCAGCCTTCTCCCGTCTGGAGCTCCCTGGAGGAAGCTGTCCCTTTCAAGACCAATCTCAGAATTTAGGATAAGGTTGCCAGATACAGCAAATACAAACACAGAATGCCGGGCCAGGCGCGGTGGCTCACGCCTGTAATCCCAGCACTTTGGGAGGCCGAGGCGGGCGGATCACAAGGTCAGGAGATGGAGACCATCCTGGCTAACACGGTGAAACCCCGTCTCTACTAAAAATACAAAAAATTAGCTGGGCGTGGTGGCGGGCGCCTGTAGTCCCAGCTACTCGGGAGACTGAGGCAGGAGAATGGCGTGAACCCGGGAGGCGGAGCTTGCAGTGAGCCGAGATCGTGCCACTGCACTCCAGCCTGGGCGACTGAGCAAGATTCCATCCCATAAAAAAAAAACAAAACAAAACAAAAAAAACAGAATGCCCAGTTAAATGTAAATTTCAGATAAAAAATAATTTTTTAGTTTATGTCCGAATAATGTCTGTGTCATACTTATGCTAAAAATTATTTTTTGTTTTTTTGAAATTCAAATTTAACTAAAGTGTCTTGTCTTTATGTGGCAATTCTAGTTTAGGTTTATTTACAGGAGTTCTCCACCTTCTGTCTAATCCATGCTTATAGAACATCTACCAGGCATGTGTGAGACATGACAACAGGAAGCAAGTGTAGCTCCTGCATTTAGAGGTGAGTTTGAAAAAAGACATGTTGACACACAAGAAAATGTAGGAAGCATGGGATAGTGGAAGAAGTCTGGATTTTGGTGTTGACTTTAAGTTCAAGCTCCACTTCTGATGTTCACTAGCTGTGTTATCTTAGGTAAGTTATTAACCTCTCTGGGCCTCTGTTGTTTATGTGTGGAAATAAGAATAATACCAACCTCTGGCTGGGCGTGGTGGCTCACACCTGTAATCCCAGCACTTTGGGAGGCCGAGGCAGGTGGATCACCTGAGGTCAGGTGTTCAAGACCAGCCTGGCCAATATGGTGAAACCTCTTCTCTACAAAAAAATACAAAAATTAGCCGGGTGTGGTGGTGGGCGCCTGTAATCCCAGCTACTCGGGAGTTTGAGGCAGGAGAATAGCTTGAACCCAGGAGGCAGAGGTTGCAGTGAGCCGAGATCGCACCACTGCACTCTAGCCTGGGCAACAGAGCAAGACTCCATCTCAAAAAATAAAAAAAGGAAGGAATAATACTAACCTCAGAAGGTGACCAAGGAGGTTATAAGAAATTGTATGTATCTCATGCCTGGCTGCCATAGGATCTGAATATATGCTAGTTTTATAAAATAACTACCAGGCCAGGCACGGTGGCTCACGCCTGTAATCCCGCACTTTGAGAGGCCAAGGAGGGCAGATCACCTGAAGCCAGGAGTTCGAGACCAGCCTGACTAACATGGTGAAACCCCGTCTCTACTATTTTTGTAAAAATACAAAAAAGCCGGGCATGGTGGCATGCGCCTGTAATCCCAGCTACTAAGGAGGCTGAGGCAGGAGAATCGCTTGAAGCTAGGAGGCGGAGGTTGCAGTGAGCTGAGATGGTGCCATTGCACTCCATCCTGAGCGACAGAATGAGACTCTGTCTCAAATAATAATAATAATAATAATAATAATAATATATAATTATCATGAGAAAGAGACAACTAAAAGTGTCAGCCATGGTAACAATTAACTTTACCTCCTTTGGGAGACTGTCTACAATGAATGTAACACTTCACTTTTATTTTATTATATTATTATTATTATTATTTGAGATGGGGTCTCACTGTGTTGAACAGGTTGGTCTTAAACTCCTGACCTCAAGCGATCCTCCAATCTCAGCCTCCCAAAATGCTGGGATTACAGGCGTAAGCTGCTGCACCTGGCCCACACTTCACTTTTAAATAGAAATAATAGCTAATACCATGTATTGAATGCCCACACCATTGCCCTAAGTATCTAATAAACATGATCTCATTTAATCCTTATATTAACTCTCCAAGGTATTTACTATTATTGTCCCCAATTTACAGATGGAGAAACTGAGTTAAATAGCTTGCCACAGAGCAAGTAAGTGGTAGATTTAGTGTGTTCACTCGAGTCCAACTCCCCAACCAATGTTCCTAACCTCTATCTTACACTACCTTTGCATGGATTGGCCCTTGAAGTTTGAGTTGGTGACCACTATGAAGAGAAGCACAGATTGTGGCTACAGAGCATCTGGAACAGCAGATGGAGATGCAGAAGCTGGGAGGGGTGAAAGAATAGTTCTGGGGCCCTGAGTTGCTCGGCATTCTGGAAACAGCAGGTCATTAATGTTCACAGGTGTGTCTTAAGACCTTTGCAAGTTCTCAGTTTCCACACTAGCTTCTATATAGAAGGTATAACTGGGGCGGAGAGGGGGGATCAAGTAGTGATCCTACTGAATGACCCTTACGAAAGTTTTGTTAGTGTTGATAGTCACCATTTATTGGATATTTATCCATCAGGCAGTGCCAGGCATTTTTCACACATTATCTCATTTAACCATCACAACTACAGATGAGAAAAACCAAGGCCAAGGTCACATAGCTAGGAAGTGTTGGACCCAGTGCTTGTGTAACTCCAGCAGGGAGGAGGGTTGATGCACTCTCTAAATAAGGGCTCATTCATTTCAAGGCATGTAATTAAAATTCATTCCTCAGCAAAATTGTGTATGACTTACATAGGTCTCTTGTAAACATTCAAAACCATGTCAAAGGTTTCCTGTATTGTGGGAATCAGTCTTATTTCAGTGCCCTGTTCCACTTCTAGCTAGTTTCAAATGAATAATGAATGCAGTTGGTAACAATTACCAACTTTACAGCACCTTCCTGTCTCCACCTCACAGCCGGGGCAGGGCAGGCTTGCTTGCTCCAATCTAAACTCTAGCCCCGCAACTCACAGAGTTAATCCACCCTCTTAGACTCCTCTGGTTTGCCCACTTACCTTGGGGAAAGTGCAGAAGGATCAGATTTTTTTCAACTTGCTTGGGTGATTTTACTCCAAGATGTTAAGAATGCAAAGTACAAGGTGCTAAGAATACAAAGGTAGATAAGATATGGTCTTTGAGTGTGAGGCCCTCCTATGGGGAAACATGGGGATAAGCATAATAACTGAAGGCAAAGGGGAACCATAACAAAGAATGGACCCGGTACCAAGGAGAAAGAGCAAGTAGGGGCCGGACGCGGTGGCTCACGCCTGTAATCCCAGCACTTTGGGAGGCTGAGGCGGGAGGATCACGAGGTCAGGAGTTTAAGACCATCCTAACCAATATGGTGAAAGCCCATCTCTACCAAAAATATAAAAATTAGCCGGGCGTGGTGGTGCACACCTGTAGTCCCAGCTACTCGGGAGGCTGAAGCAGGAGAATCGCTCGAACCCAGGAGGTGGAGGTTGCAGTGAGCCAAGATTGTGCCACTGCACTCCAGCCTGGGCGACAGAGCGAGACTCTGTCTCAAAAAGAAAAAAGAAAAAAGAAAGAGCAAGTCGGTTCTCTGGGGGAGGCCCATGACCATGCCACCAAGTTGGTGACACAAAAGCTGGTCTTGGAGAATGAGTCCAAGTTTGCCTGATGAAGGGAAAGGAAGGGCAACCCTGCAAGGCAGGCTCAGCCACAAAACAAAACCACTTGCTTGGCCAACTGCAAGAACTATAAAAGTTGGAGTAGGGGATAGGGTACAAAAGGAGTAGAAGGTGAAGGGGAAATGGTTGGTAGGGGCCAGATTGTAGTAGAGCTTGTCCACCATGTGAAGATGTCTGAAGTTTTATATCCTTTAAGCCAATGTTTCTCAAACTTTTCCACTTAAAGTACCCCAAGGCAGTGGATAACACAGGCATGGGAATAGAGGGCAGCCCATGTTGAGCTCAAACTCTCTTTAAAGGTCTTGTCTTTGAAATCATGTGATTCTTATATTCTACTCCATCTTATGTCTGTTTGTTTTAATATAAAAATGTTTACCTTAATAAATAAATAAAAATACATTTAAAATTAAAATAAGATAAATATTTTCTGAATCTCTAAATAAAATTTAAAGATTACGTTTAAAGATGTATTTATTATAAATAAAATTCAAGAGGTCAGGCCTGGTGGCTGACACCTGTTATCCAGTGTTTTTCGAGACCCAGACAGGAGGGTCGCTTGAGCCCAGGAGTTCAAGGGTGCAGTGAGCCATGATCACACCACTGCACTCCAGCCTGGGCAACAGAGCAAGACCCTACTTCAAAAAAACAAATGAGGGCCAGGCACAGTGGCTCGTGCCTGTAATCCCAGCACTTTGGGAGGCCAAGGTGGGAGGATAACTTGAGGTCAGGAATTCGAGACCAGCCTGGCCAACATGGTGAAACCCCATCTCTACCAAAAAATACAAAAATTAGCTGGGCGTGGTGGCTCACACATGTAGTCACAGTTACTTGGGAGGCTGAGGTGGGAAAATTGCTTGAACTCGGGAGGCAGAGGCTGCAGTGAGCCAAGATCGCACCACTGCATGACAGCCTGGGTCAAAAAAAAAAAAAAAATGAGGAAGATAATCTATTCTATATTTCTTCCGCCCTGTTTCCTTACATGAATCCCCCATCCCGGAAGTTGCTTCAGCAGGTCTGAGGACAGCCATAGGGATTTAAGCAGGATAGTTATGTGATAAGATTTATTTCTAGAAAGAGCCTTCTGACAATGGTGTAAAGAATGGATTGGAGATGAGAGAGGCTGAAGGCAGAGAGAGCAGGCGGGAAGCTCTGCAGTAACCCAGGCAAGAGATGGTAAAGGTGAAGCAGATAAAGAAGGGAAGAGTTTTGAGAGGCATTTAAGAAGTGGAGGCCAGGCACGGTGGCTCACGCCTGTAATCCTAGCACTTTGGGAGGCCAAGGTGGGTGGATCACTTGAGCTTGGGAGTTCTAGACCAGCTGGGAAACATGGTGAAACCCTGTCTCTACTAAAAACACAAAAATTAGCTGGCATGTGCCACATGCCTATGGTCTCAGCTATGTAGGAGGCTGAGGTGGGAGGATCACTGGAGCTCAGGAAGTCTAGGCTACAGTGAGCTATGATCACACCACTGCACTCCAGCCTGGGTGACAGAGCAAGACCCTGTCTCAAAGACAACAACAACAAGTGGAATTAGGGTCAGGCCCTGGGCTTACATCTGTAATCCCAACACTTTGGGAGGCCAAGGCTGGAGGATTGCTTGAGCCCAGGAGTTTGAGACCAGGCTGGGCAGCATAGCGAGACCTCATCTCTACAAAAAAAAAGAATCTAAAAGAAAATTAGCCAGGTGTGGTGGCACACCCCTGTGGTCCCAGCTACTTGGGAAGCTGAGGTGGGAGGATTGTTTGAGCCCAGCATGTCAAGGCTGTAGGTGAGCCGTGATCACGCCACTGTACTCCAGCTTGGGCAACAGAGCAAGACCCTGTCTTAAACAAACAAACAAGCTAAAGAAGTGGAATTAACAGTATTAGAAAACTGTCCTGGGGCTGGGTGTGGTGGGTGGCTCAAGCCATTAATCCCAGCACTTTGGGAGGCCGAGGCAGGTGGATCACATGAAGTCAGGAGTTTGAGACCAGCCTGGCCAACATGGCGAAATCCTGTCTCTACTAAAAATACAAAAATTAGCCAGGTGTGGTGGTGCATGCCTGTAGTTCCAGCTACTCGGGAGGCTGAGGCGTGAGAATCGTTTGAACTTGGGAGGTGGAAGTTGCAGTGAGCTGAGATCGTGCCACTGCACTCCAGCCTGGGTGACAGAGCAAGACTCTGGCCCAAAATAATAATAACAATAACAATAATAATAATTTGCAAATCATATATTATCTGATAAGGGATTTATATCCAGAATATATAGAGAAATCCTAAAACTCAACAACAATAAACAAACGGTCCGATTCAAAAATGGACAAAGGACTTGACTAGACATTCGTGCAAAGAAATTACACAAATGATCTATAAGCACTAAGACAACATAAAAAGTCGTCCAGCAAGCACCCTGCTGTTTAAGTTTCAGCCACCTTCTGACTCACACCTTGAGCTAGAACCATCCAACTGCGGGCTTTCTGAATTCCCATCCCACAGAAATAGAGATAACGAAATGGTTGTTGCTTTAAACCACTGAATTGGAGTGATTCATTTTGTAGCAATAGTTAATGGCACATAGTAAAATGTTAATATGTAGAGAATCTGGGTGAAGGGTATATAGGAACTCTTTGTAGAATGGTCCTCTACCTTGTGTATGACAAAGGGGTGGGGTTACAAGGATCATAGCTTCTTCTCAGGATTACTCAGGACAGTCTACACCACCCAAGTCTATACCTGTAACAATGAAGCTGAGCTGGAACTTCAGAATGGGAAAGCAAGATAAACTGAGCGTGCGACTTCCCTATTGCCTTGGTGACACCCAGATACCCTGCAGATGCAGTTAGAAACAGCTCCAGTTGTCCAACTCTGTGGCTAGAAAAAAGTGTAGCCTGGGTTTTTACTCTCCTAACCCCTTGATTTGTTTTGGGAATTATTGTCTACAAAGAGCTCTCTCCTTTCTGATAATTGCTTTAGGTGGAAGAAGAGAGGATATGCTGTGTCCCCTCTCTTTTCTTACTTACTCTATTTGTAACTTTCTTCTTTTTTCCCCAAGAAAATGGGCTTAGTTGGGGTGCTTTGGCACCAATAGTCCTGCGGCGGAATCTGTGGGAGCTAGACAGGGAGATTTGGAAGAGAATGCTAGGTTGTGAGCTCTTGCTTTTGAGTTGTTTGAAGAGAATGCTGCATCTCTGGCATGTCAACAAGCCCAGCAGAATCCAGTAACGTTCACCAAGAAGGCTTGATTAGAGCTGGTTAGGGGATGATCAGGATGGTTAGGTGTGAAGAGCTTACGCTGATTATGGAGGGTATGGGAGTCACGGGGTTGGTACCCAGTGAGGAAATTTACCTTAGTAGAAACATTTGGGATAGTGTAGAAGAGAGAAGAGCTAGAGGCGAGGATTCAGGAAATAGAGAATGCCAGAGTCTCAATTAACAGGATGGAAAGCTAAGGAGATGAAAGACTTATAATAGTAGCATAGTACTAAAAGACAAACTATGTGTAAAGGTATTAGAAATGGGGACTGGGACTCTGAGGCAGTTAGGCCAGAGAAAAGAAGAAGGAAAAGATTTGTCTTCATTTGATTCAATTACATAAGCATTTCTCAGAATCTGCTATGTGTCACATGCTGTGGTGGATGCTGAGGGAGCTGATGAAAAAGACAGAATTCCTGCCCACCAGGGTCACATAGTCTGGAGACACAGACACGTAAACAAATGACGATAGTGTAAGGTGTGTGTAAGAAAGGAGGAATGTACAGGGTTGGTACAAAGGTGACCTCAAGGCATCCATGGGAATCAGGGCTGAGGGAGGAAGAGCCAGAAGACATCAGCACAAAGAGAACCAAGATGCTGAAGTCACAGGGGGAAAGAACATACTGGAGCCCCGGGCAGAGCAGTGCTGGACAAGGACAGCAAGTGTGGAGAGGAAAGGGAGATCCAGAAGAACCGAGGAGATCCATAACAGCATGCTTGGAGGAGGAAATTCGGGAAAACGAATGGACATGTCAGAGGGAGCTAGTTATGAGGAAGTGGACTGCAAACCAGATAGTGAGCAAGATGAAGAAATGAGGTGTTTATCCTTGCAATGGGAGAGAGACAATAAGGCTGACAAAAACTCAAGTGGTCTGTGGATAGACGATTTCGTTAGCTCGATTTAAGGGTAAAGGGCACACTCTCTGGTAGGAGATGAAAGGGGATGTTTAAAACAGGTAGAAAAAAATTGGGCCGGGCGCGGTGTCTCACGCCTGTAATCCCACCACTTTGGGAAGCCGAGGCAGGTGGATCACCTGAGGTTAGGAGTTCGAGACCAGCCTGGCCGACATGATGAAACCCCTGTCTCTACTAATAATACAAAAACTTTGCCAGGCATTGTGGCGCACGCCTGTAATCCCAGCTACTCGGGAGGCTGAGGCAGGAGAATTGCTTGAACCCAGGAGGCAGAGGTTGCAGTGAGCCAAGATCGCGCCAGTGCACTCTAGCCTGGGCGACAAGAGTGAAACTCCGTCCCAAAAAAAAAGAAAAAAAAATGAATTTGGGAATTAGAGAAAAAGACTGTGATTGGAACCCACACACCAAGAGAGGAGATAAAACCCAGCCTTAGCTCTTCCATGTCGCTGAAAGAGAAGAAAACGTCTCTTTTTCCTTTTCCGTAGCCATAAAAGATGAAAATCCGTCATCCAGCTACTGAAATCAGGTGCACACGGTTGTTCCTCCTGTGATGAGACAGGGCGGAGGGATTGTTACCCTGTTGCCAGGGAAAAAGGAAGGGGCTGTTCCCAGTTGCTATGGTGACGAGGTAGGCGCGTTCCCTCGGTACCGCCGCACACGTCTGAAGCGGTCTCTTCTCCTCGTTGCTACGGCAACGCAGTGGGCCTGTTCCTGTCGCCCCCCGCCTCCCGCCGCAATCGCTAAGGCAAGGTGGAGGTAGGGGCTGTCCTCCCGCGGCTCAGTTGCCTTGGAGACGGCGGGTGCCCTGGCCCCGCCCCGCTCGGACTGACAGCGGCGGCCGCATCGCGCCTGCGCAGTGCCCTCGTCCCCCGCAGTCTCTGTGCGTTGAAGCCGGAGACCGCGGCGGCCTCAGCGAGGACCCTCCGCCCCGGAGCCGCCGGCCGGAGCCGCAGCCTCTGCCGCAGCGCCCCCGCCACCTGTCCCCTCCCCCTCCGCCTCCGCCGGAGCCGCCTCGTGCACTGTGAGTCCGGGCCGAGGCGACGGACGCCGTGGGGCTGAGTCAGCGGGAGGCCAGGGCCCGGGCTGGGGGAGGGGAACCGGGCTCCCCCCGCCCCTGCCTCCCCACCCGCACTCCCGCATCCCGACCGCGCCTTCCCCGCGCCGGTCAACCCCCTCCATCCCTGTCGCCGGGTTCCCTCCGGCCTTGGCGGCCCGGCCTCCCCAGCCACTCCCCCTCCCCTTCCCTCCCCTCCCCTTCCCTCCGTCTCTCCGGGTCCACCTTGAGGCTCCTTCCCCACTAGACGTGGCCACCGCACCTCTGCCCTGGGCTGATATTTTCTCCAAACTACCTCCCGTCCGCCCTTATCCCTTCTCCCTCCTCCTCACTCCTCCTAGGCCTGACATCTCCCGGCCTCTCTGGATCTCCCCAGTGATGTGCCAGAAAAAGAGTGACAGGAGAGCGAGGGGAGACTTGGGGGAGGGGGAACATCGGGCCAGGCCCAGCCTGGGGGCCTCGGGTTTCTTCCCCACACGCTCCTGCCTGGCTGGTTTGGGGAAGCAGGTCTGGACAGTTCTCACTGGCTGCTCAGAGCTTGCAGGGCTTTCCGAATAGATTTGGCTGGGAAGGGTTCAGCCCCATCGTGATCATCTAGCGTTTAATGAACGCGGCTAGTGCCTGGTGGCCTTCTAGTGGGCTGAGCTACTGCCCGGCCGGTGTTGCGGAGCGGGGAGTAGAAGTAGTGGAGGGAAGGGAGAAGAGGTTGCGTTTGGGAGCTCCAAGTTCCTGCGCTTCCGGTGTGGTGTTGTGAATAAGCATCTTGCGGAACTCTTTAAAATGCTTTTTTTTTTTTTTAAATCGCACTACAACCCTGGTATAATGTGAGGTTTGGAAAAAGGCCTGATACCATCCATAGGAAGTGCTTACTGTTTATATATGAAGGGGCTGTGGCAGGACTTGATCTTGGATTCCTGTAAATTAACTAATTGGATAGTAGTGAGTTTTTAACATAACGTGTGCAGAGTTGAGAGGAAGGAGAAAAATCGAAGCTTCTCCATGGTGTAGGTGTGAGGCCTGTACACTGTGCCTCCTCCAGCTGTGTGTCTTTGTGGGGCTGTCACCAGATAGGGGTTCTAGCATATTTGGACAATTCCCTGGGTTATGTTTGCTACCCCTCCACCTGCCCATCTTGCAGTCCCTGTTCTTGGAATAGAAGAGGGTCCCAAACAGTTTTCTTTTTCCAGAAGAACTGAGTTGAAGTCAGAGTTAGTGCCCAGAGCCAGAAACTCTTAATAAACATGTCTCAACTTGAGGGCCCCTAACTACTATATGACCTCATTGTCAGCTTCTTTTTTATTTGGCTTCCAAATTTCAGTGTGCTTTTAGAAAGCACGTGTAAATATAAGCCAGATCTACCGCACAAGAGGCTTTGGGATTTTTACTCCAGATGGTAAAAGGAACGCATGGTCCATTTCTAAAAATCATGGTGAAGGAGCCACTCATTTGGAGTTTCCGGGGTTGCAAACAATGAGAAATAACTATTTCACTCTTTACTTTGCTCAATCATGGCCTATTGGCAGCCTCCTCATAGCCACTCCCTGCCCCCATGCCCATCAGATTAGTTTACAGTAGCCAAGACGGCTGTCGCCCTAGTTTTAAACATAGAGATGAAGTTCAGGAAAACTATAGCCCCCATCCAGCAGGGCAGTTTCTTCTGTTTCGAATGCCAGACTGGGGTTTGGTGGGATGCACCTGCCTGTGGTGCAGTGGGAACTGTGGGGCCTGAGAGTGGCATTCCTTCTGTGTGGTCCTGTGTCACATAGCTCACCAAAATACCCGAGCAGGGCAGGAGCAGACAGCTGTACTGGAGAGCTGCTCCTCCTGGGCTGAGTGTATTTTGGGAATCAGCGATATTACTGGGGTGGAGGGTTGTGAATTAAGGAGGAAGAAAATGTGTCAAGGCTAGATAGATCAGGAGGGTGTAAGTAAAATGTTCCTTTCCAGTTTGCTATGGGATAGTACATTTTCAGAGGATCAGAGTAGTTTTTATATGGATTAATTTGCCTTTGAAATCCATACCAGTGTTTTATGAGATAATGATGGAATGCCTTTTAAACTGCTACTATGAGGAAACAGGACTAATACTTGTCTTATACATTGCCTATCCAGCTGTTGCTGAATGTAATTGTTAAGATCAAGGAGAGGGACATGATTTGAACCAAGTTAGACCTAAATCTATGTAATGGTATTGAGGTTTTGTAGGACTGTATTCTTGATTCTAAGACACACCAGCAATTTACCAATAGCTTTTAGGTAAAATAATCTAATGCTACCAGATCAAAATATATATGCTGATTCCAAGGTGCATCCTCATTTTAGAAACATTAAAACCCTCGGGAAATGGCAAGACTTGAGGGAGGGATTTGTGAATCTTGGAACTGAGAAAGAATGCTATTGATAGTATTCCTGTGTGATGATGCCGTTTCTGACCTACCGTCCTGAGAGTGCATGCATTGTGAAGCTGAGTTTCTTCTAGTCCTTCCTGCACGCCAGCACACATTGTGGGGTTGTATTTGTAAGATGACTGGCTGGAGTTAGGCATAGTAGGAGGCTATTGAACGGAGGAAAGTTCCCATATGAGAATCCAACCCAGGGTCTTAATGTGGTACTCTCCAGAAACTGAGCCAACTAACTGGCAGCAAACGTCTTATGAGCTATTCCTGAATTTAGCCGAGTAACATTTGTCAGAAGCCGAACAGAAAATATAGTTTTTTTTTTTTTTTTTTTGAGACGGAGTCTCGCTCTGTCGCCCAGGCCGGACTGCGGACTGCAGTGGCGCAATCTCGGCTCACTGCAAGCTCCGCTTCCCGGGGTTCACGCCATTCTCCTGCCTCAGCCTCCCGAGTAGCTGGGACTACAGGCGCCCGCCACCGCGCCCGGCTAATTTTTTGTATTTTTAGTAGAGACGGGGTTTCACCTTGTTAGCCAGGATGGTCTCCATCTCCTGACCTCATGATCCACCCGCCTCGGCCTCCCAAAGTGCTGGGACTACAGGCGTGAGCCACCGCGCCTGGCCAGAAAATATAGTTTTTTAAAACAGAATGCATCTGCCCTGATTTGCTTACAGATACATTTGTAAAGGTCCCAAGGCACATGTCTCCCTCGCTTAGGATGTTAGCACTGGAGGTGACCCCAGATGGTATAGTTTAATGCCCTCATTTCTAAAGTTGACACAAGACACCAAGAGTTAAATGACTTACCTAAGGTCACCCAACCCATGCAGAACGTATGTAAAAACACTTTGTAAACTGTGTACACTAGGCAGATGAATGTTGGTGGTTATTAGTGGCTGAGTCAGGATTAGATCTCCAGATTTCCAGACTAGAGTTATTCTTCAACACCACATTGCCTCATCCCTCATAATGTTCCAAAGGGTTTTAATAAAAATAATTTAGTAGTCCGTAATTAGCCCTGTAGGCAAGGGCTTGTTTTGTCATCTGAGATGCTGCACAGCCAGGCAAAATTTTGTGTCAAACTGTCTAACTAAATATTTATTCTTGCCACTTTAAAAATAATATTTTTTATCACACATTCTGACTTCAGGAAGGTCTTTCTTTTTTTAATTTGCATCAACTAACAGAAAAGCAAATGTGAAGTTGGGTATTTGAAGTCTTTTCTACTTCTTATCTGTGAGACTGCCGCATTCCAGAAAGCAAGGTGGAGAGGCAGATGGGGCTGAGAGGAGGAGCGTGCACATTGGGCAGCTGCGGGCTTATCTTCCACCTCTCAGAATGGAACCTTTTGTAGTTTCTGGGAGCCATAAGGACTTCTAAACCCTCTCCTTGGGAAGCGCGGAGGCAGCCTGACCTCTGGAAGCAGGCAGACTTGAGTTCAGATCCCCATCCAGCCATCTCCTGGCTGTGTGGCCTTGGGTGAGTTATGTTACCTCTGAATGCCAGTTTCCTCATTTATAACCCTGGAATAATAACTATCTGTTTTACAGGGTTGTTGTGAAGATTAAATGAAAGGGAGTATGTAGAGTGCTTGCTTCATAAGAAATAGCAATGATTATTTTATATTGACTAAAGCATAAAATAGCAAATAATGGTTTCAAAATTGTTTCGTGATTTAGGTCCATCTTGGACTCTCAGTTTTGTAGCCCCCATCTCTCAGCACCCCTCTCGGTATTTGACACGAACAGAGAAAAGGTTTGTACCGGGAAGACCCGGCACTTGCATTATTATTTCAACTGCCAAAACCGGAGTATATGAAATGTATCTTTGCTCCATGTATTCAGCCAACCTGAAAGACTGGCAGGACAGGAGCATTTGACTTTAGGAGGCACAGATGTGGTGTGCTTGGGTGTGTGGTGGGGGTGGCTAGTTCTCCAGCAGGGAGGCCAGTCTGGGGAGTGGTCTTCATTTGAAATAGAAAAGCTGCTGAGCTCTTGCTTGTGAGGGACACACATGTGGTCTTTATTGACTTCCTCAACTGGTAGAGGCATAGATTTCATCGGTGACTTTGCTAAAATCAGCTTCTGCATCCGTGAGATCCAGGGGGCAAGGGAAAGGAGCTATTCATCTTAAGAGGGAAACCTTGCCAGTGAGCAGAGGTAAAGGGAGGTCATTTTGGATGGAGAGAATTACAGACTGGCTCAAGGCAGAAACTACTGAGTAATTAAAGAACCAGGGCAAGCTGTTCAGGTGCAAGAGCAAAAGTGAATTTAAATTCCTAGATAAATTTCAGTAGGGAAGGAAATACCCATGTATAGACATCTAAAGATTGAAAAGAAACGCAATAATGTTTACCTCTGGGAGGTGGGATTTGGGTGTGGGGAAGGGAAAAGGAGACTCAAAGGGGAACTTTTACTTTATATGTTTTTGTATTTGACTTGTTATAAGAAGCATGTATGCTTTAGTCATTTAATGAAGACCAAATAGAATGGGTAGTGATTGTTGTTCAGTAAATACATTTTGGTACAAAAGAAGCAGCTGCCTTTACTTGGAGCCTCCCATGCCTGGGGCAAATAGGGTTTGACAGCTTCAAGCAGGCCCAGGCAGTTTGCACCAAATCAAGCTCTTAAGTGAGGGCAGGACCCTCCAAAGTGGCTGCTTCCCGGTCAGCCCAGGGTACTTAACTGACCACCTACCCCATCAACTCTTCCTAGTCTTTTCACTCCCCTCTTGAGAATAGTCCCCTCCATCTGTTGACCAGCTAAAATAATCATAATTATTCTAATAAGCTAATTTTCAGCTATTGATGAAAATGGCATCTGACTATATGACCTTCATGAAAAATTCCTGCCTCTTAGTTAATGTCAAGAGGGCTTGAAGTTTAAAGGGACCCAAGCTGAAATGCTGGCACACTGTGTAGCTAAGTTCTAGGTCAGACCTGGCTGGTACAGCACATCTTTCACATAATGACTGATTAACTGCTTCTGGTAGGAATTACTGGTAAACTCTGATAAAATCCTTAAGGATTGTTCAGCTTTTAATTTTGTCGTAAGTTGGCCAGCTGTATTTTCTAGCCAGATGTCATGTTTATTATAGAAAGATGACACACCTATCATTTGGACATGTGCTTTGGGTTGCTTACCCAGGAGTTAGGATGGGTTATGCTGAGTAATTCACATTCCATCACCCAGTCTTCCCTTTGGCCAAGAGTACAATTTCGTGTGACAGTTAGCCAAGTTTCGTGAAGCATGCTGTGGCCACGGATGGTTTTTCTTGTGCACAGAGTTGACTGGCCAATACTAGCATAAGCCTAGATCTTGCACTCACTAGCACCATGCCCTACCAGCTTTGCTAAACTGACCAGATGTTGTTAGTCAACTTTTTAGCATAACGTCAGTGTTTTAGGCTCTGGATGCTTCATTTGCCTCAAGTAAATAAGGACTTGTCCTATCTAAAATGCTTTAACTCCATGCAAAATGATTTTTTCCCTGAAACTATTTCCTAGATATAGGAGATACATACCACTTGTGTGATACATTTAAAATAACTGAGCAAGAAGCATGGCTTCAAATCTGCCTTGTAGCTTGACTATATATAAAAAAGCTTAAAAGGATGTATATCCTTAGACCAGAAAGTGCCATTCTAGCAATATTTAGAAAATCAGAGGTGTGTACAGAAATAATTGTAAAAGATTTATTAATGCAACATTACTAGTAATATCAAACATTGAAAACAACCAAAAGTGCCAGCAACTGAGGATTGGTCAGGCTCGCCCAAATAAAATACTGCATGGCATTAAAAACATTTGGAGAAGAATATTAATACCAGAACTTTTAATATCAGTGAAAAAAGCAGGATGAAAAATAGTATGCCAAGGAAAAAACCATATTTATAAAGAAAAACATGAAAAAGATACTAGAAGAGCATGTGCCAAGTCATAAGTGATTGAGTAATGGGATTAAAAACGAATGGCTTTCCTTAGTGCTTGTTGGTGTTTTCTAAGCTTTTCTGCATTAAGCAACTATAACTTAATTATGACATTTTAAAACCAGTGACTTCTAGATTCCATGTAGTAGAGCAATCTTTAGAGTCTTCTTTGCCTCTTCCTTTTACTGTTTACATGTATCGGAAGGTTTTAGTAAAACCTTGTATACCACAGGGCTCTGTTTTGGGTGGCCTTCTTTTCCCAGGTGTCTTTTCAGATTCTCTGTATTCCCAGTTCTCCAGTGTTCCAGGGGCCTTTTTTGAGGGTTTTGCTCATTTTTTGGTGTGGATGTGCACCTGTCTGAATTGTCTGTTTCAAAAGACTCTGCCCAGGCCCACTACAGTTGCCTTCCTCCCTTTGCCCTTTGTCACCTTCCGTTCAGCCATGAGCTCAGAGGCCCTTTTTCCTTCCAGGGATAGAGAGGGTTGGGTGCCCACCTGTGGCCACCCGATGGGCAGAGCCCTATGTAGACATAGGCTAGGCCACTCCCCCTGTGCCACACCAGGTCCATGGAGCTGCTGACTGTGTTGGTAGGGCCTGGCCGGGCAGCTGTCCTCTGGCCTCATCTTTCCCATCCACACACACACACTGTACATTGCCTAGATGGCCCAGTCCAGTGGACTGATACCTGCCTTCAACCAGTGGTGGAGTCTGCCCAGCTCTGAGCACTGAGAAAGGGGCACTTTGGCCTCCTCCTGAGGATCCGGGACTTCGAGTTGAAGAACATATGGCCTGTCACATAGCTCGAACTGTGCTGTGATAAATGTTTGCTAAGCAGGATCTGCCTCTTCCTCCAAATGGTCTGGCTACCCAAATACTTGTCCTAGATGGGGTGGAGGCCTTCCCTGCTGCTGGAATTATTAGTGAGCAAGTCTTTGGGTATGGCTGGCTGGAGAGACTCCACCACTCGGAGAGAGTGATTGTGGGAGAAACAGTCATCTTATCTTGAGGGCATTGTGGTCCTGGTCACCTTGTAATTTATATGGTGTTCTCTGACTGGTAAGAAATGAAATCTTAACTGCTTCTGAGTCAGCAAGATCATAGTTGGGTCTAAGGTGTGTGTTGCCATGTGAAAGGGGCAGGTCTTAGACCACTAGATGAAATTAGATACCTTTCCCATGTGAGGAGTGTTTCACGCAGGCTTATCTCCAGTGGCATAATGTGTGCTGTGTAGCCAGGCCTTTCCGCAGCACCAGACTCTTGGCAGCCAGCCACCCTCCACCCCCACCCGCTTCCCTGAAGGTTATTGACACTTACCTGGGACTCTGATTTGGTCCTTGATTTGTTCTGATTTTAGATGCTTAGAGCTCATAGCTGAAAGCTCTCAGTTTAGGCATCCTATTAACACTCTTAAGTGACAGGATCACTGCTAAGTACAGAGATGTGTTATGCTGGCCCCAAAATAGCAAGGTACAGTGTCTTGAGACAACTTGATAAGACTTCTATTACCCCAAAAGTATAGTTCCCAGGTTTACAGATTATTCATATAAATTTGCATATCATCTTCACAAGACATGTAAGCATGCTCTCAGCACGTATTCTTCATCAAGCCCTTTCTCTGTTTTGTATTGTTAGTCACTATGGGATATAAAGGAAATGAGACTCAACCCTTGTCCATGAGGAGGCTGTAATGTGTGTGGAAGACAAGATGGATATATGGAATGATTAGTGCATATGACAATATTGCATGTCAGAAACACATCTTTGGTGCCTTATTCTATAAGACACAGTGTCAGCCCTTAAGGAATTCAGCTAATATTCTGGCAAAAGAGTTGGACACAAAACTGTATGTCACTGTAACATGAGGGGATGGAACCTTATCAGCTATGGGAAAGGGTGCTTTGGTAAGCCAGAAGGAAGAGTCACCCTGAGCCTGTGAGAACCAGAAAGACTTCAGAGATGAAGACACACTGGAGCTGGGTGTGCAGGTTGATGTGGAGACTCATCAGAGGACAGCTGAGGAAGAGAGGCAAAAGAAATGAAAAGAACAGTGCATTGGGTGTCACTGGTACTACAGAGTCTAAATTCCAAAAGGATGCTGAGAGGAAAATAATCATTGTGAACTGGAGTAATCAGAAAAGACTTCAGTCTAGGTGCAATGGCTCACGCCTGTCATACCAACACTTTGGGAGGCCAAGGGGGGAGGATCACTTGAGGCCAGGAGTTCAAGACCAGCCTCAGCAACATAGCGAGACCCCATCTACAAAAATTGTTTTTAAATTAGCCGGGCATGGTGGCATATACCTATAGTCCCAGCTACTAGGGAAGCCAAGGCAGGAGGATGGCTTGAGCCCAGGAGTTTGAGGCTGCAGTGAACTATGATCATGCCATTGCACTCCAGCCTGGGTGGCAGAGTAAGGGCCAATCTCTATTAAAAAAAGACAAGACTTCACAAAGGAAGCAGAACCTGACCTTGTCTCAAGGATGAGCAGGCTGTGAGTTGACAGAACACCAGAGAGGGCTTTTCAGGAGGCAAGGTACAGCATCAGCAAAGGAATGGCCGTGGGAAGGGGTGTGGTGGGGTTTGTAGGCAGGGCAGCCTTACCAGACTGAGGATGTGTGCTGGTTTTGAGTTTGGAGAATATTGGTGACATTAACCAGAAATTAGGAAGTTTGAAGAGACAGTTTGGAAAGGAGTTGCTTTTTAGACACAGAGAGCTAAAAACAACGTGACTGTGGGTTGCAGGACATCCAAGTTGAGTGATCTCATAGAACCGGAAGCTGAGGGTCAGGTTGTGGATGGAGCTGTAGAGTGGGAGTCAGCAGCACAGAGGAGGGCTGGATTCCCTCAAAGGAATCTCTCCAGAGGTCTTGCATGCAGAGTACAAAGACCAGAGCCCCAAGTAATAAGCTTTGAGAACTGTCCATAGTTAGGAAAAAAGGAACAAGATGGTGGGAAATTAGGATGATTCAGCAGCAAGGGAAGAGAAAATGTCTGGAAGAGAGTTTCAGTGCTGCTGATTTAACTAGATTTAAGGATTTAACTAGAAGGCAGTCATGATGATTGCTTAGGGTATCCATTCAGTAAAACACTGGAGTGGTTTAAGGGGAAAATTGACAGAGAAAAATAGAAGCAATGGCTGGTCACCAGAGAATGGCAGCAGGGAGGGAAAGAAAGTAGTAACCAGAAGAAGCAATCGAATCAAATATTTTATTTTTGTAAAATAATTCTATTCTTTATCAGCAAACATATAAAATTGTAGTATGTGGTTCTTAAAATATATTTTGTGTATTAAAATGTGCTTCATCTGCAGACTTCTCTATATTGACATAATCCATATATTTGTAACTTCACATATTTCATTCCTTTGGTGGTATCCCATCATATTGATACCAGTATGCTTAACCTCAATCTGTTGTTGGGCAGTTGGAGTATTTTGCAAGTGTAAATATCTCTGATTTGAACATTACTGTACAAGTGACATTTTTTTCTTTTGTGGATTATTTATTCATGGTATATTCCATAAAGTGAATTACAGAGGTGCAAAGGGTACGATTTTTTAAATAAGCTTTTTATACAACGTTCTTCATGGTGATCTAACCAACTTTCAATTAGAGTAAAAGTTTGGTATTGACGAAGAATCATTTTTTATAAGAAGGAGGTCTGAGCATGTTTAATGGCAGAAGGGAAAAGGAGTTATCCAAAGAAAATAGTACACAGACAAGAGAGAAATAAAGCAAAAAGGAATGATCTTTAGGATCCCAGGGAAAGGTTCCTTTGAAGAGAAGAGGGCATGGCTCTTTCTACCCCTGACTTTTAGGGTGAAGTCCAGGATAGATTACTGGGGTTCCTCCTAAGAAAAGACCTTTCTTTCTTTAGTAAAATAGAGCCAAGGCCACTTGCTGAGGTGGGGGAGGGAGAGGGTTGGTGGGGAATTGAGTTCTTGAAGGTCTGAATTACCCACAGTGAGAAATAAGTCTGGGCATATGAGAGATGAATAAAGGTCTTATTGTGAATGCTGCATTGGACCTATGAATTCATAATGGGCTGAGTCTTTAAAGTCCTCTGGCCAGAGAAGCAGCAGTGAGTGGGGACGGGCACCAGGAATGGGTGTTGCTTGGCATGTTCAGGGCAAGGTTTCTGAGGAGTCAAAACTTAAGATGCAGTGAAGTAGCTGGCCCTAAGGCCGGAGGTAGAGGAAGGGCCACAAGTTGAAGACAGGCGCTGGTTGTCAGCCAGAATGAGGAGGCAGAGGAATTACAGGGGCCAGTGGGAACGGAAAACAGGTTTAGAATATGAGGGATGAGCAGTAAGGAGGCCACTGACAGAGGAAGATTTTCATATTAAAATTTGGCAGAGGCTTCTTTTACTTTTGTTCATCTTTGTATAATGTTTACGTTTCTAACACAGACGTGTAACCACTAACATTTCTTAAAGGAATATTTGAAATCTCAGGAGTCGAGCTGTGCCTTCCGGGTGTGGCTGGATTGCTGAGATGGATGAAGGAGAAATGAAGATGGAGCTGGATCATGGAGCCTACCTTGAAAAGGTGCTGGGCCTCTAAGGAGCCTCCACGTGTCAGCCAGTGGCTTCTGTGGTCTCAGCTTGTCACAAAAGAGTGGCACCCAGCCAGCAGCCCTCCTCCACCTACACTCCAGTAGTGTTCAAAATCCAAGGAGGCCCATCTTCCCAGGCTTGACAGTCGACTCTTAGATGTGCTGTTGCGTGAGTCTGGTGGTTTCCAACTCTCTGAGCAGATCCCTACTGAGCCATGCCTCTCTGGCCTCTGTGAGTGAAGGTTCTTCCTCCAGACAGATAGAGTCCCTTGCTAGGAATGCAGTTTTGTGAGTGGAGCTTGGGTTCTACTCATTTTGTGAGGGTTCCAGCCCTCATCTCCTCCACAAGGTGCTTTGTGCAGTGTACAAAGTGTACAACTGTTTATAACAGCCCTGTTTCTCTCTTGCCTATTATGAAACTTGGCCTAAAGTCCTTTCCTCCTCTGACCCCTCTCTTTCTCATGTCCTCCTAGATCATTCACTTTGACTCTGACCCTGTCTAACACCCTGGGTTGTGGTCTTTATTCCACCTGCTGGATTCACATTACTTTCATGCTGCACAACTGAAGCCATTTACACAGCTCACCATGCAAAGCAGCCACAGGGGCTGATAGCAGGGGACTTAACTAGGTGGGAATATGTGGAAAGTCAGGTGCAGGAGTCAACCTGTGGAAACGGAAAAGCTAGGGCTGCTTTCTTTCCAGGGCCTTACACTGACATTACCTTGCCTGGACATTTTGTAGTCCCGTTTCATGAAAGCCAGGACCTAAGCAGAAGTATGGCTCCCTGCCAGTCCCTACCAGGAAGGAACAAACAGCTTGCAGTACAGGCCTCAAGCCAGGTGGGGCAGGAGCAAAAGTGCATTGTGTTGCCTGTGGAATTAAATGGACTCTCTATAAACACAGCCTCCTGCCACTGTTCTTTTCTCTTTCCACCTAGTCAGCCTACCTGAGAATAATTAGCCCTTGGCCTATAATTAGGTAGAATGATTATTTTACTACTGTTTATCCATTTCACTAGATAACTAGCTTCATGAGGCAGGGACCATGTGAGACCTAGCAGTATCTGGGGCTCAACAAATAATTGCAGAATGAATGGATTTCTAAGGCATATTTGTTGCTGTCCATCCTTAATGCTATGAAATGGTACCTAGGAGTGAGTATATAGTGACCATAGTAACTAACGAAAAAGCCCTCACATTTGTCCCTAATGGACAAGAGTGCCAGCAAAAGCAATGTTTTGGACTTCTCAAAGTCAAAACTCAGAGACTCTCAAGATTTGGAGTAGCATTGAAAATTAGGAAGGCCCAACCCAGCTCCTGTCAGAGGGAAATGGAAAGACATGAGAGGAAGATCCCACTACCGCTACCACTATCCTGTTCAATAAAGCCTCACTTGGGCAGAGTTAAGCTTCCAGTAAGACAGAGACAGAGATAGACATTCAGAGACGGAACCCACCACATAATCTGTGCTTGCATAAATTAAAAATCAAATGTGTAGTGGAGCCTTTCCGAAGGGTGCATTTCCCACTCTCCTAGGTATGGATGACTAGATCTTCCAGGAGCCCACTGGGTTCCAAGCTTAGGCTCCAGAACTCCTTTTCTCCATGCAGCACCCCCAACCCTGCCTAGCAACTCTCCCCAAGTACTGCTCTGCTTCCCCTGTGGCTTCTCAGACATGCAAGCCTCTGATTGAACTTCTCCTGGCCTGGAAGGCTTGATTTTTCAGGACCCAGCAAGGCACTGCTCTGGCCTCGTGGCTGTCCCAGGATGTGTTAGGAGGTCATAACACAAGAGGACTCATGCCTCTGAGGCCCTCTCGAAGGGTATTGAGAACTCAGTGATAATGCAGGCCCTGTCAAGGGTACTTAAGAAGATCCCATTTGTACCTTTATCTTTAAAATTCATCATTTGAACTCAGATGGTTCTCCCAGTATCTAGCTGTTCTGTGGAAATTATGTTGCTTGCCACCTAGAGCAGATGACCTCTTTGGGAGGCATTAGGAAATAACTAGTTGTTTTAAAGCTCCCAGAGCTGTTAGCTAAAAGATCTTATATATTCCTTTCAGCTTGGTTTTCTGGAATTGACAGCCTTTTCTAATTCCAAAGAGGCTGCCTGTCAGCTTCCTTAAGAAGCTTCCCAAGATACCCATTGAAGGCCCAAGGCAAGCAAAGAGAAACAACTGAGAAGCCTTTGACTCCAGGTGTCCCTGGGTAGCAGCTGCCCCTCACCCCGTCCCTTCCCCTTGTTGGGGATGTGAGGTTTGGAAAGAACTTCCTCAGATGACTGCCAAGTCCACAGTTATTCCTCTGAAGAACACTCGAGAATTTTTGCATCACTTGTCTCACCCTCACCCTAATAATGTTTGTGTCCATGCATTAGCTTTCCCATGAATTTAAATATATTTATATATTATTCTCAAAATCATTACGACCTTGCCCATATTTTCAGAGAAACTTGTAAGAGTGTTATGTGTTTAATGCCTTTAGTGTATAGTCATAATCAAAAACCCCTTGCTGGATGACAAATATAATTCAAAATTGCTTTTAGAATTAAATATTTATGAATTAAAACATTGCAGAAATGCACAATGCAAAAAGTAGAAGTCCTCCATAACTCTGTCCCCCAAAGAGAATCACTGCCACTATTTTGTTGAATATTCCAACTTTTTTCTACACACATACTAACATATTATTTTTTTTAAACATGGAATCTAACTATTTTTCATTTGTAGAAAAATTGGAAAAGATAGTAAAGAGTAAGTGAGAAAATTAGAACTACTTTTAATTCTACCACTCAGACAGCAGTGGCACCAGGGGGTGGTTTGGGTGGGCTTTAGCACTGCCCTCTTCCTGAAAGCTGCCCCAAGGAAACATATGCTCCAAATACAAATGTGTCCTTCTTCTGCATATGCAGCTTCAAGACTTTCTTCTAGCTCCCTCTTCCCACCAGATTACCAACCCTAAGCCCCTCCATACAGAAAGCTCGTTGCCACCATTGCTTTTCACTGTGGTGAACATATTACTCCATTTTCTTCCAGTCGCACATAAATCTTTTAACTAAGGATCATATTCATTTATAGTTTTTACAGTAGTCATATCAAGTTCCAGTGTAAATTACATGCAGAACGCACTTCCCATTGCCCCAGGTAACATTAGTTTTGATTTTGTCCCCAGTAGCACTATTTCCAAGACATGTCAGGGAACTGTTTTGAACTCACCCCTAGGAGATGCTTTCACTGTGCCAGTGGAGAGCTGAAACATAGGGGCAATGACTTGTTTAAGATCAAAATGAAACTCTGCCTTAGCTAAACTTACCCACAGGTGTCTAAATGCCCAAGATCATTGGCTGAACTGCCTGAGTTTACTGCAGCATTTGGGAAGGAGTAGAAGGGACATCCCTAGGTCCTGAATTCTTCCTTTTTCTTTAGCCTCAATATCATTTGCTTAGTACCGTTTAGGTAGATGGTGCTTCGGCCCTGAGAGAGATTGTTAAGACATGTGCTGTTGAAACTCTTCTTCCCTTTTGGGGAAGGATGTTGGCCTTTCCTCAAGTCAGGCAGAATCCTACCTGGGCCATCTTCCCAGCTCCTGAGATAATTCACAATATTCTCATTCCAAATTCTGTTCTGTGCATCTCATTTCTCCATGTGCAAAGACTTAGCCAGAGAGCATTCTGGCAGCATAGATCTGAGTTGGTGAAGCTATTCCTATAGCAGTAATGTGGCAGAAGCAGGCCCTGGAGACCCTCCCCACTTGCTCAGGTGTGGCCCAGACCAGTGCTGTACCATACTGCCATGGCCACAGGGCAACCACCATAACTCAGAGCAACCCCTGGAGAATGAGAGAGCAGCCTAGGAAGTCCCAGTGAGAGGAGACCTAATCAGCCAGGTATTCATTTCTTACTGCTGCCTAACAAATTACTGTGAGAGTTCTAATCCCCCAGAACTGGTAAATATTCCTTTATAGGACAAAAGAATAGGTATTACCTTATATGGCAATAAGTGTTAATTAAGTTAAGGATCTTGAGAGAGAGGTTTATCCTGGATTATCTGGGTGGGCCCTAAATGCAATCATATGTATCTTTATAAGCAGGAGGACAGAGGGGTGTTGAGAGAGAAGAGACAGTGTGGCCACAGAAGCAGAGATTGGAGTGACCTGAAGCCACCAGAAGCTGGAAGAGAGGCAGGGAGCAGATTCCCCCAAGAGCCTTCAGAGGGAGGGCAGCCCTACCGATGCTGTGATGCTGGACTTCTGGCCTCCAGACCAGTGAGAGAATGACCTTTGTTGTTTTCAGCCACCCAGTTTGTGGTCATTTGTCACAGTAGGCACAGGAAACTAATCCAGTGTGCCAAAATCAAGGTGTTGGCAAGGCTGTGTTTCTTCTGGAGCCTCCAGGAGAAAATCCGCGTCTTTGCCTCCTCCATCCTCTAAAGGCTGCCCACATTCACTGGCTCCTGGCAGCGCATCACTCTGCTTCCATCATCACTGTTCTCTGACTGACCCTTCTGCTTCCCCTTATAAGGACCCTGGTGATTACACTGGGCCCACTCAGATAATCCAGGATAATCTTCCCATCACAGAAACCTTAATCACATCTGCAAAGTCCCTTTTGCCATTTAAGATGACATATTTATATGTTCCAGGGATTAGGACACGGACATCTTTGAGAACCTACCATAGTCTGTAAGCCTAAATGGTATGGGTATGTTCAAATTAGATGCTACTCCCTGAATCTTGAGAAAAGCAGTATCAAAGGAAACACTTCTTTATACAGAAGTGGTATCCATGGAATGTATTACCTGCACAGGTTCTCTCAGGCAGAAAACATGGAAAGCTACGTCAGCTGCAACAGAAAGATGGGGGTATGAATGTGAGCTAGGCAAGATGAGGTTCTCCCTGTAAGTTTTCGAGGTGAGAGCGTGGGGGAGGGTCTTCTACAGCACTCACCTTTGGTCCTTCTCAGGCAGACTAAGCTGGATGGGCCTTTGGTTTGGGCCAGTAAGGGTATTCCGTGCAGCCATCAATCATAGCACTGGTGCCTGTGGAGACACCGGCCACTGGAGAAGATCCAGAGGATGAATCACAGCAGTAGACATGGTATGGGGATTAGAGGTAATGGGGCATGCTTGTTTGAATGGAGAGTGAGAGGGCTGTGGGAGATGCTATGGAAGATGGAAATGGTGCTTGTGGAGTGTTGGTTGGAGGGAGAGTGGGAAGCTGAGGAGCCACCGTGTGAAAGAGTTTCCACCTAGAGGTAAGAACTCAGGAGGGAGTGCCCCGGTAATAGCTACCCTTGAAGTCAGACGGAATTACTTGAAGCGGTTTGGCTTCACATCAAGACCATCAAAAGCCAAGTTCCCATTCTGCTCCTGCCTATCTCTCTAGCTCTGGAAAAAATGATTTCTTCCTCAGAAGTAAATAAAATTTCCTCCTTGTATATCAGTGTAATGTGGGAATAAAAAAATAAAAAATTTCCTCCTTGAAGAGGATGAAAAAGCATTAATTATTAATGTTTATTTTCATATTTACAGATGAAAGACATGCTGAGTTCAAAGAGGTAGAGTTGCGACTGAGGAAGAGAATTAACTCTCAGCATTAAAATTATCCACTAGAAAATATTTATGCCTGTTTTGAAAAGTCTGGCTGGGCGCGGTGGCTCACGCTTTTAATCCCAGCACTTTGGGAGGCTGAGGCAGGTGGATCACCTGAGGTCAGGAGTTCAAGACCAGCCTGGCCAACATAGTGAAACCCTGTTTCTACTAAAAATACAAAAAAATAGCTGGGCATGGTGGCAGGCACCTGTAATCCCAGCTACTCGGGAGGCTGAGACAGGAGAATTGCTTGAACCTGGGAGGCGGAGGTTGCAGTGAGCCGAGATCGCGCCATTGCACTCCAGCCTGGGAAACAAGAGCAAAATTCCATCTCAAAAAACAAAAAAAGAAAGAAAGAAAAAGTTTCTAGGGGTTGAATACAAAGTTGGAGAATTTCAAAAAGAGATCTGACAATCAATAAAGGGATCAGAGAAGAATCTTATTAGGACAGAAATGTTTGTGTTCCTAACCACCCAGACTCATTTCTAGGACAAGGCATTAGACAAAGGTGTCAGCAAGCAGCCACCTCCTACATGCTTGTGAAACACTATGAGAAATTATGGTGCATGCCTCGGAAACTTGCCAGATAATTAATGGCTTAATTCTGCTTCAGCTCTTCTTTTCATAACACAAAGGTCTGAGACTCCAATTAATGAATTTCACTTTAAAAAGAAGTTTGTTGAATACTTGCTCTAGTTTAAAGCATGAAGTTCAAGGTAGGGGACACAAAAAGAACCCATTCTCCTGGGGCCACCTCTCTAGACAACACTAGCTCCTAAGCAGGCGGGCCTGCTGGAGGCCAGGTTCTAACTGCCAGAGCCATTGCTACATGGTGTGTCCCTTGGCCCACTGTGAGCAGCCACAGCAAAGTGATACCATTGTCTTCATGGGACCAGCATCCTGACCTGCTAGAAGGGGAGGCTCCTCCCTGACAGTTTTTAAATACAAGGACATTCCAGCATCTCATTATTCTGTGATGGTGTGAGGTAATATCTGTCCTAGTCTCTAGCTTGTTTTTTTTCAACTTGTATATCAGAGCATCAAGAACACTGCATACATTTAGCTGCTTTTAAAAATGTTGGCAGAAGAAACCAGTTAGCTAAGTGGTCATTAATAGCTGCAACTCATCATTGAAATTTTTCAGCAAATTTTTTTATATTTGTTCTGCAAGTTGTTTTATCTCATCACAACATTCTGGAATCCAACCAGAAAGGAGACTGAAGTTTCTGGAGATGAGGGAAAACTGCAATGTAAAACTCATGCTTTGCCCTGACTCAGCTTAATAGTCAGTCCACTGACTGATTAACAGTGACAAGAACAGTGCTGGTAAATGGGGAAATCGTGTGTGTGTTCTCTAGAGCGGGGTTCTCAAGTGTAGTCCTGCTGCTGACTCACCAGGAAAGCCAGCGAAAAATGCAGACTCTGAAGCCCCAGCCCACAACTGTCCCTCTCTGAGGGTGGCCCAAGGAATCTGCATTAGTAATAGGCCAGTCACCTATGTGTACCCTAAGTTTTGGGAACCTCTTCCCTAGAGGGGGTTTCCTCCTTGAGGTATGTGGAGTTGATCTTGGCTTGAAAACCTTTACCCAAAGCCAAAAGTGGCCCCTGACACTCCTTGGCAGAAAAACTCTCCTGCTTCTCTCTTTGTATCCCCTTGGACGCAGAGAAGAGTTGTGCTCCAGCTCAGCACCTCTGTGTGTGGTGAAGTCCCAGTTTATTATTCATTCTTGCTGCCCGACAGGTAGACAGCATCACCACCTCAGCTTTTTCATAATAGCCACGTAATTCCAGCACCAATGTATCCCACATTGATAAAGAAGCCAAGCCTTGGAATGCCACCATTTCACCTTTCACTGTGTGATGGCATTCTGAAGTTTTTCTTGGCACTCGAAGAAGAAAAGGCTATGTAGAATTTCTGATGGCTGTTTTGCAGAACATCCAGAAACACCCGCTAGGCTCCAAAGCCCTAGGCAGTCCCTGTTTAGTTGTGGTCAGGGAAAGAAATGACTCGTCTCTGCATGAGCTGGGTGCTGTGCAGGATGCTTTCCATACACTGCCTCGATTAATAAGAAAGTGATCCGGAGTCCGTGCAATGCAAGGGAAAGGACAATAACAGCAGAAACTGAATGAAAGGCAGGCTTGAATTCTGTTCTGAGCTGTGGTGTGACTCATCAGGGTAGGAAAGTCGGTTCCCCAGTGCCTCTATGTATCCTTCTGTAAAATGAGGTTATTGCTGTTCCCATCGCCCAATCATCAGGTCAGAGTTGGGAATACTTTGAACTTCCCAGATGAAAGGTGATATAAAACTACAAAGTGAAGAGCTGGTGTAGAGGAGGGTGCTACAAAACTAAAAATGAGATGGCTAAGTGACAGCAAAATCTAAGGATGTCAGGATGCTCCACTCTGCTGCCAGGAGACTCTCCGGACTTCGTTTGCCTTGCTTGTCTTATGAAGGATGGTGTGAATACTCGCTATCACATAAGGAGGGGCAGCCTAGTGTGGTGGTTAAGAGAAAAGACTTTGGGGTCACTGACCTGTTGAATCAGAATATTGAGTTAGGAGATGGAGAAGCTGCAGTTTTAAGAAATTTCCAGCTGTGTGTGGTAGCTCAGGCCTGTAATCCTAGCACTTTGAGAAGCCGAGGTGGGACGATTACTTGAGGCCAGGAGCTCAAGACAAGCCTAGACAACATAGTGAGACCCTGTCTCTACAAAAAATCTTAAAATTATCTGGGTACAGTGGTGCGTGCCTGAAGTCCCAGCTACTTGGGGAGCTGAGGCGGGAGGAACGCTGGAGCCCAGGAGTGTGAGGCTGCAGTGAGCCTGAACCATTGCCCTCCAGCCTGGGCGACAAAGCAAGACTGTCTTGAAAACAAACAAAAAATTCCCAAGTGATTTTGATGCAGACCAAAGTTTGAAGAACAGTGTAGCTCCCCTGGACTCCTGATGGTTCCCAAGGAAGCTGTGTATTTCCACACCCCCTCCTATGCGCCCCATGCTCTCCCCGCTCCCTGAGCCGCTTTCCACTCAGTCCTTCCTATGCATGCATCAGAAGCATCATCTTTTGGGTTTGCTTCCACTAAGTGAACTCCCACTCTTCCTTCAAAACTAGGTTACACATCACTTCTTGCCCAAAACTTTTCCTGAACCTTTGCAGAGGAATGAATCCTTCTCAGATACCAAAGAATACCATGCAACCATCAAAGAGAATGAGGGATGGAAAACTAACCATATTTTTAGAGGAGAAAAAAAAACTCACAATATTTCTATTTTGATTCAGTTTTTCTTAAATGACTGTACAAATAGGTATATATAGTTTGAATATGTATATAGAAAGGTCTGAGGAATATACATACCTGGTAACAGGAAACTTTTAAATTTTATGCACCTCTGTGTTTTTTAAATCTACATACTATTTTTATAATTTTTTGAATTTAATAACAATTAGAGTAATTACCAAGAGAGTAATTGCTTAAATAATTACAGGGAAGAATCAACTGCTGTTATAGCTCTAGTATATCATGTTATGGTTGCATGTGTCTTCCTGCACTGTTCAGCTGTGAGCTCCTGAATGGCAAGGCCTTCAGGCTATTCTGCCTGTCACCAGTGCCCAGCATTTCCCTGACACTCAGTGGGTGCGCACCACGTACTTACTGAACTTAAGAGATCCACGGCCGGGCAGTCTCATGCCTGTAATCCCAGCACTTTGGGAGGCCGAGGCGGGCGGATCACGAGGTCTGCAGATTGAGACCATCCTGGCTAACATGGTGAAACCCCGTCTCTACTAAAAATACAAAAAAATTAGCCAGGCGTGGTGGTGGGCGCCTGTAGTCCCAGCTGCTCTGGAGGCTGAGGCAGGAGAATGGTGTGAACCGGGAAGGCAGAGCTTGCAGTGAGCCGAGTTCGTGCCACTGCACTCCAGCCTGGGCGACAGAGTGAGACTCCATCCCAAAAAAAAAGAGATCCAAACAGATTGTAGGGAAGCTTAGTCAATCAGTCCCAGGGGAGGTCGGGTCTGCCACTGAGGTACAGCCTGTGGTCAGTTGGTATGTCTGGTCCTAGTGGAAAGACAATAGCAGGAAGGAAGTGATAGTGGTGGCTGGACCAATACTGCCTACAGCCTCACCACAAAAGAAACAGTTTGGTGGTGGTGATAGGGAGAAGAGGACTTTGTTGGTGACAATTGGCTACAAATGGTCTGTGGGTCACTGCCGCTTGCTTTCTCAAATCCCTACTCCAGTTCTATCAGCTGTGTCTGCCTGCCCCGAGGTAGTCCCTACTCTTTTTCTAAACAATAGAATTCCACATTCATTTTATAGAGCCCCACATAAATAAAAGAAATTGGCCTATTTTCACACAGTTTATCTCCTTTCTATTTCCATCCCTTCAGAATCCTGTAATCATGAGATTGCCTAAATGGTCTCTCTGGAAGGCCCTGGCAACGTCTAGGCACGCATCCTGTCTTGCATTTGTAGATCAGATTCTCAGACTCCAAATTGGGCCAGATGTAAATGGGTAACAACTGTCTGTGTTCTCTCTATCCCACTAAAAGCATCGGGCATTCCTCCTCTCCTTCTCTTATTGAAATAACTTGCGTAAATCATGCTAGACTTTGCACCTTGACCTCCTTAGGCCACACGTGGAAATTGATTCCCTGCCTTTCACCACCACCACCACACACTCATATACTTTGTGCCAGATTCCTAAGAGAGATTGAATGTGTATAATTTTTTAATCTCATGATTTTGGAAAATCAGAAACTGTTACTACTCCATAACTAAGGGAGAAGAATAAAAGAGGTATGTTCATATTTATTATATTTATATCTAAGTGCTATAGCAATACCTTTTGACAAAAATATACTTTTAAAGTCACATTTTAGGAGAAGCGTAGTACTCATTCTCACTGACTAATGTTACCAGATAATTTTTTTTTTTTTTGAGATGGAGTTTCGCTCTTGTTGCCCAGGCTGGAGTGCAGTGGTACGATCTCATCTCACTGCAGCCTCCACCTCCCTGGTTCAAGCGATTCTCCTGCCTCAGCCTCCCAAGTAGCTGGGTTTACAGGCATGCACCACCACGCCTGGCTAATTTTGTAATTTAGTAGAGATGGGGTTTCTCCACATTGATCAGGCTGGTCTTGAACTCCCGACGTCAGGTGATCCACCCGCCTCAGCCTCCCAAAGTGCTGGGATTACAGGCATGAACCACTGCACCCGGCCCAGATAATTTTTTTTTTTTTTTTTAATCCTGACCTATACTAAGAGTTTGGAATGGATATTTGAGGGGAGGAGAAGACAGGTCACTCAGCAAACATGAAGCACCTACTTCAGCCATGCTTTGGAATTTAAAAATGACAAATGTAAGATACTGCCTCATCCCTGCCCTTGAATTCATGTTATAGTTTTAACACACCCCACTGCAATCATGAAATGTGGTATACATTCCATAAAACTAGAATCAAATAGGATCAATTGCATCTTACTCATTGATATCCTTGTGAAGACTGTGTAGGCCAGAAGTGAGAAGATGATTTGAAACCCTTCTGTTTCCTACATGGAGTGTTGATTCTGTATAATGTGTTGCTTCTCTCCTGAGAAATCCAGTGTTCTGTTTTATTTCCTATTGCACATGTTGTACTTCCATGCCCTTTTTATATTCTGCTACTTTCCCTAGTTTCAGTTTAGTCATAGGGATTGTATAGCTCCCACTTTTCCTTTCTCTGGAAATACCATGCATGTTTTAACTGGAAGACCCTGATGAGGTAAAATATTAGGACGTTATTAGCCAGGCGCAGTGGCTCACCCCTGTAATCCCAGCACTTTGGAAGCCAAGGTGGGCAGGTCACCTGAGGTCAGGAGTTTGAGACTAGCCTGGCCAACATGATGAAACCCCATCTCTACTAAAAATACAAAAACTTAGCCGGGAGTGGTGGTGCACACCTGTAATCCCTGCTACTCGGGAGGCTGAGGCAGGAGAGTTGCTTGAACCCAGGAGGTGGAGATTGCAGTAAGCCGAGATTGCGCCACTGTACTCCAGCCTGGGCAACAAGAGTGGAACTCATCTCAAGAAAAATAAAAAAAATTAGGACATTATTAAAATAAAACCAGAAACTGGTTTGTTAAAGCTCCTTTCTTAACCATCTGTTCTATCATCAGTCACTTCAGGCTGTTTGGTGTCAAAATTACAGAGTCCCCCACCATATTACACCAGTTTCTCTACTTAGAGCTAAGTCCTTCTCCAGGTCACAGAAAGAAGTTGTTCCAGGGATAGAAAAAATTCCTGTTGAGGGAAAGTTCTGGGGAGGTCGGGAGGATGTGTAGCTCCTGCCTGATGTCCCTAACACTTCAGGTGGTGACTAAACTCTTGGTATGGATGTGACTCCCTCCCCATGAGATTGCCAGGTTGAAGACCAGCTGAGGAGTCATCTGCCCCCTTCTCAGCCTTACCAACTCGATTTTTGCTGGATTTAGGAAATAGGACAGTTCTGGTTCTTTATCCTACTACTGTAGGCCCTACTTGGCCATGACCATTGATTGTGTCCAAAAGTTCATGCCTGGCAGGAAAGCAAGAACTCATGATGGATGTCTTGAGAACCATGCTTCCTTGAGTAGGAGATGGCGCTCTCCCCCCAGACAGAGACTAATTGAGAAGACTGACATTAAGGAATGCTACCAGAATACCCCAGAATTTGACTTGAGCCCTAATCTTTGTGTGTGGGAGCTGTCCAACATTTCAGCATACTTTTGCATTTGCCTACTTTGAAAGAAACATGATAATAATCTGGCTGTCTTGACTGTTTTACTGTGTGCCATGTTCTGAGGAAACTGACACAATTCAGGATCTAGTCTCTCAGGTATTTTGATCTGATAACTTAATTATCAGCTTTTCTTGAGGTCACCAAGCCCTGAGAAAACTGACTTACATTTATTTGCTTAGGCACATTTGTACCAGAAAGTCAATTTAATAAATATACTTCTTCCCTGTATCATGGTGGCTTGAAAATCAGAAAGGTAATCAGAGCTTGATTTATAAGCATGAAATCAGAGCAAATACAGTTGGAAGTTAAGAAATTATGTGTTATCCACACCATGGTTCAAGCTTGATTAATTCTCCTCTCTCTACCAGAGGAGACATCATTCATCCTAGTGACCAGAATACCAATTCCAGCTAAGCAGAGTGGTCCATTGGACAGTGTTACAGTTGCACTAACATAGTTTTCCTTTCTAACTATCTTTTTCTCTAGATTCCATAATAAGCCATCCCCTTTTTATAATTGCCATTACAATCAGCTTCTACATCATGACATCGTTACAGTTTGCCAAGTTTGTAGCTTATTTTGCACTGATAAATTTTAAGTAAGTCCTGCTCTGTGACATCTAGGAAGACATTGTAGTTTTATTTACAATATCTCCAAATCACTCTATTTCTCCTGATAGGTAATCCTGTCTATAACATGTAGATACTTATTAACTCATTAGCAGGGATTGGCAGACATTTTCCTTTCTTCTTCTTCTTCTTCTTTTTTTTTTTTTTTTTTTTAAGAAATGAGTGATGTCTTACTCTGTCTATCACCCAGGCTGGAGTGCAGCAGCAGGATCATGGCTCACTGCAACCTTGAACTCTTGGGCTCAAGTGATCTTCCTGCCTCAGCCTCCCGAGTACCTAGGACTACAGGCACAAGCCACCATGCCCAGCTAATTTTGTTGTTGTTGTTGCTCAAGACGGAATCTCACTATGTTGCCCAAGATGGCAGACATTTTTTGTAAGGGCCAGATAGTAAATATTGTATGCTTTGCTGGCCATATTGTCTCAAGTCAAAACTACTCTACTCTGCTGTTGTAAAGTGAAAGCAGCTATAGACACTAGGTAAATGAATGGGTGTGGTTGTGTTCCAGTAAAACATCTTGACCAAAAGGGAGGCTCTAGCTCATAATTTGCCAGCCCCTGCTTATTAGTCATAATCACAGAGGGGACTCTATTCTTTCCTGGTTTTGCTGCAGTCCTATTTTGTCCTAGATATTAATAGGTTGTTTAAATCTTCAAAAGTAGTTTCCACTCTCCCCTAAAAGAACTCAGAATCCTCAGAGAAATGCCTTGCTTCAAGACCGAGGCAGGGAAACTGCAAGTTGATCCTGGAACAAATTATTCTTCTAGAAAGTAAGGAACTTACCAAAGAATGATGGGATGTGTCAACAAGACTCAAGAGCCAGCTGTAAGGGGCTCCCACTGTGGCCACCAATACTGGGACACTATGAACATCAAAATAAATGATAATAATGTATTATAACCCTTTGAATAAAATAATCATCTATGAGTTTATACTGGCCTAAATAAATAAAAGAAAAAATAAATGGAGGAGGAAGGGATAGCTTTTCCTTTATGATGGAGTTAAAAGTTAAGAACAGTTCTTAAGTAGGTTGGAGGCCAAATCAGAATGGGGACTTTTTCAAATACCTGAGGGTCTTTCTAAGAGAGGTGTGTGTGTGTGTGTGTGTGTGTGTGTGTGTGTGTGTGTGTGTGTGTGTATGTGTGTGTGTTTTGGAAAAGCTCCCCACAAGATACTAATGGGCCTTTTCTGTTTGGGGACTACTGATATTCCGGCCACAGAAGACAGTGGAAAGATAGCAGAGGGAAGTATGTCTTCAGCTTGCTTGGCCCATTCATATCTGCCTATCGCCTCTATTCCTTGTTATCCTCATCAATCTATTTGGCCATCTTGGAACCTGGTGTGAGTCCAAAAGGAGGAGCTCCTGCTTCTGGGGTTTGTTCTTGGGTACCCATAGAAACAGATGAGACATTAGAAGATAGGAATTTTATTTTATTTTATTTTATTTTATTTTATTTTATTTTATTTTATTTATTTTTGAAACAAGGTCTTACTCTGTTGCCCGGGCTGGAGTACAGTGGTGAGATCATAGCTCACTGCAGCCTGGATCTCCCGGGCTCCAGCTTGATCCTCCCCACTCAGCCTCCCGAATAACTGGGAATACAGGTGTGCACCACCTTGCCCCACTAATCTTTTTTATTTTTAGTAGAGATGAAGGCCTCACTATGTTGCCCACACTGGTCTTGAATTCCTGGGCTCAAGCGATATTCCTGCCTCATCTCCCAAAGTGCTGGGATTACAGGTGTGAGCCATCACACCCAGCCAACAGGAGTTTTCTTAACTAGCAGAGACTAACCATACAAGGTTTCCTTGTTAAACCCTTCACCAGGGCCGGGCGCGGTGGTTTAAGCCTGTAATCCCATCACTTTGGGAGGCTGAGGCGGGCAGATCATGAGGTCAGGAGATCGAGACCACAGTGAAACCCCGTCTCTACTAAAAATACAAAAAATTAGCCGGGCGCCGTGGTGGGCGCCTGTAGTCCCAGCTACTCGGGAGGCTGAGGCAGGAGAATGGCGTGAACCTGAGAATGGCGTGAACCTGGGAGGCGGAGCTTGCAGTGGGCCAAGATCACACCTCTGCATTCCAACCTGGGCGACAGAGCGAGACTCCATCCCAAAATAAATAGATAAATAAATAAATAAATAAAAATAAACCCTTCACCTGAGGAACAGAAAAATACCTGGAGGGAAAGTATCTAGTGAAGAAACGGCTCTCACTTTCCAGGGGATCTTCAAGAGAGAAAAGACAAGCCCATTAGCAGAGAAATTAAAGTCAAGTTGTGAAGTAAGCATTTAAAATATTTTTATTCTATTTTGAACTAGTGTAGATATCTGGAGACCAAAGTTGTAAAATACATGATATGTGATCCCTGACTTCAAGGCACTTATCTTTTTGGGAAGATATTTGAAAAAAAAATTAAATGGCAATAGTAGAAATTAGCAGTCCCCAACCTTTTTGGCACCAAGGTTTTGTGGAAGACAGTTTTTCCATGGATGGGGTAGAGGGTGGGGGTTGGTTTCAGAATGAAATTTCCACCTCAGATCATCAGGCATTACTTAGATCAAGCTTGTCCAATCCGCAGCCCATGGGTCGCATGCAGCCCAGGACAGCTTTGAATGTGGCCCAACACAAATTTGTAAACTTTCTTAAAACATGGAGTTTTTTTGTGATTTTTTTTTTTAGCTCATGAGCTGTCCTTTGTGTTAGCGTATGTTATGTGTGGCCCAAGACAATTCTTCTTCCCGTGTGACCCAGGGAAGCCCAAAGATTGGACAGCCCTGAGTTAGATCCTCATACAGAACACGCAGCCTAGATTCCTCAAATGCACAGTTCACAATAGGGTTTGCGCTTCTGTGAGGATCTGGTGCCGCCGCTGATCTGACAGGAGGTGGAGCTCAGGCGGGAATGCTCGCTGTTGCTGTGCAGCCTGGTTCCTAACATTCCACGGACCCGTACTAGTCCACAGCCTGGGGGTTGGGAATCCCTGGTAGAAAGGATAGTTTGGTAATCCCTGGTAGAAAGGATAGTTTGGTAACTTAAATGTTGTGTAGCAGGGTACATATATGCTTAATCCTCAAGTGAATTATGTAAACTCAATATTCACTAAATGTAGAGGAGTAAGGAATTGCTGAAGGCTAGAGAGGTCAACGAAGACAGAATAATAGAATTGTTGCATCTATTAGAAGGGACCTTAAGAAGTCATCTAAACATAAAATCTCAGCTAGTCCAGCCTTCAGTCTGGTTCTTGACCCCGATAGGGCATGCCCACAGGGTGTCATCAGCTTGAAGACCTGCCATGGTGGGACCTCACCCTTTCCTGGGGTAGACATGCTGCCTTTAACCATGTTAAAGCTGTCAGTTAACTGCTTTAACTGAAGCAGTACTGGGAATGTTTGTCTTCAGTGGGTCAACATCTGTTTTTCTGTATCTTCAACACTTTGGTCACAGTTTTACAAACGCTGTGGTCACAGAAAATAAGTGTAATCCCTATTCTTCCTCTGGGCCCTTAAGTCATTAAAGGCAGTTCTCATGTCATGCTGAGTTTTTCTTCTGTCTCTAAGCTAACCCCTTAGTTTCTCCACCAGGTCCTTGGCTGACCGAGATTGGAGCATATCCACTCCACTCACTGTCATGGTCTTTCTCTTTAAACAGGCCTGCTTGTGAATGTTATTCTAAAAGTTTGCTGCACAGAACTGAAGTCAGTATTACAGGTGTCATCTGACAAGCCCAGAGGGGAGGAATATTATCACTTTCCTCATTCTAGAAGAAGGACTTTATAACCAGATATCTAGTTTCAAATCAGTTCTGTTCTCACTGGCTGTGTTACCTTGAGCATGTTACCTAAGCTCTCTGAGCCTCAGTTCAGTTCTGCTAATATCTGAGAACATTCTATGTGCTGGACACCATGCCATACAATAGGGCTGAAAAAAATCCCAGCCCTGGGGAAGCTCCTAGTGACGTGGAAGAAATAGACATACTTCTGTGTTAGAAGTATCTCCACACAGTATTACAGAAGTACCCAGAAGGCTAGGCTAACCCAGCCCAGAGGAACAGGCTGGGAGTCAGGAAAAACTTTCCAGGGGAGTTGACACTGGAGAGAGTACATGCCAGTGTAAAATCCTTATGTCTTTTGCACACAGTTTTGCAAACCTTATATCTTCTGCCAAATATCTTCCATTTGTTTTTTAAGATACAAATGCAGAACCTAGTATGTGTTTATTTGGAGTGGTTTAGCTTCTTCCTATAGCCTGTCACAGCACTTTGGAATCCTGATTCTGTCAGCTAGTGCTCACAGAAATGGTGGGACATGAGCTTGGCCTTGAAAGGAGGAGAGCATTCCAGTACAAGCCAAGGCGGGGAGGGATTCAGTATTAGGGAGACTGGCAGGAGGAAGAACAACAGTCTGACTGAAGTGAGGGGCTTGGGGTTGGAGACATCAGAGAAAGGGTTTGGGGAAGAAGGAAGTGGAATTGATCCTACAGATGTTTGGTCTTGATCCTACAGAATAGAGATATAGAGAGCCATTGGTGCTTAGGGGAAGGGGGTAACTAAAGCAGTGTTTTTGGAAAGTTTGTCTTGCAATGAGTAGCAGGAAAAGTTGAAAGAATAGGGACCAGAGGCAGGAATACTATCCAGTCACAAAATGGCAACAACCTGGACAAGGATGATGTCAGTGAGAATGGAAGGGACAAGATGAATGAGAAAAATCAATGACTTGATGACAAGTTGGCCAAAGCAAGAGAGGCAGGATTAGGGTCCAACTACATGCACTTTTTTCTTCTTTCTTTCCTTCTTTCTTTTTTTTTTTTTTTTTTTTTTTTTTTGGGATGGAGTTTCGCTGTTGTCACCCAGGCTGGAGTGCAGTGCAGTGGTGTGATCTCGGCTCACTGCAACCTCCTCCTCCTGGGTTCAAGCGATTCTCCTGCCTCAGCCTCCTGAGTAGCTGGGATTACAGGCATGTGCCACCACACCCAGCTAATTTTGTATTTTTAGTAGAGACGGGTTTCTCCATGTTGGTCAGGCTGGTCTCGAACTCCTGACCTCAGATGTTCCACCTGCCTTGGCCTCCCAAAGTGCTGGGATTACAGGCGTGAGCTACTGTGCCCAGCCCAACTACATGCACTTTTAATGTGACTGACATCTCATAGATTTTTTTTTGGCAGATTTTTTTAACCATTTTAGTGGATAATACAAATTTGAAATACAAATTAGTTCTAATATTTTACCATAAAACATTTCATTTTTTCCACATTATCATTATTAAGGTTTCCATTTCAATTCTGAATATAGTTCTCAATATTTTACAACTGCAGTAAGGAAGAAAAAATATTGTTTTCAAACTACTTATCTTTCTACCAATTCTCAGTTGTTGGTTCTTAAAAAATGACTTCACAAAAATTTTTAAGATGCTAATAACAAATTTCCACTTAAATATATGGATGGCTGATTTTACAAATAAATGTACGGGTTTGTGTTACTATTATGCTCTCCCTAGATAACAAAACAATAAAAGAAATTTTAGTAATATCAAGTAAGTACTGACCAGGTGAGTACTGTGAGACAGTGTCATGAAAAGGTTCTTAGGGGTTGAAAGACATGGTTTCTGCTCAGAGGACTCACCGCGGAGCAAAGGAGAGAGACCCGTGGACAGATAAGTACAAGGCAGGCTCCTGTGAGAAATGACAGAGGTATGAGGCTGTGGAGGCCCAGAATGTTCTCCATTATGACCCGATGAGGAGGGAGGAGGGAAGTGGAAAGAGGAACAAGGGTAGAAGAGAAAGGAGAAAAGTGAAAGACTTAAAAACAAGGAGGGAAAAGAATGAAGAAGAAAGAGTTACAAGGAAAATAACTTGCCATTTTTTACACCTAATAATGTATGAAGTACTTTCAGATTGGTTATTTCATTTGATTCTGCCAAGAAGGCAAGAGATGAGAGACAGGAGGAGGAGGAGGGAAGCAAGGCCCATGACCAGGAGAAGGAGCTGCACCACAAAGAGCTCAGAGCCCCTCTGGCCTCCTAGGCCGGTGCAGCTGCCGGTGTCCGCTGGTGAAGGTGGACCTCAGTGGCCCTAGTTAGAAGCCAGTGGGACCTTGTAAAACCAGGGCTCCAGCTGGGAAGTCTGAACCTCCTGGACAGAAAGCAACAGAAGCCTTAAAGTAGTTATCTTGGCAACTATTGTCAAGGACTCATTGCTGCCTGACCACAAGATTTATCCAATTATTTATCTACCTTGTTTTATTTTTTAATATTTTTTTCTCATCACGAAAGTAAGACATATTCGCTGTAGAAAATTTTGAAAATTCAGATAAACCCAAATATGAAAATAAAATCCCATATAACCGTACCATCAGACAGAACCACAATTATAATTTTAGAATATACTTCACATTTTTCTTCAACAACTGTTGGTATATTTTTGTTCTGTAATACAATCATACATTGCTTAATGATGGGATACATTCCGAGAAATGTGTCTTGTGATTTTGCCATTGTGCAAACATCATAGAGTGTACTCACCCAAACCTAGATGGTATTGCCTACTACATACCTAGACTGTATGGCATAGCCTATTGCTCCTAGGCTACAAACTTGTACAGCATGTGACTGCACTGGATACTGTAGGCAATTGGAACATAATGGTTAGTATTTGGGTATCTAAATATATGGTCTGGGTATGGTGGCTCATGCCTGTAATCCCAGCACTTTAGGAGGTTGAGGCGGCAGGATCACTTGAGTCCAGGAGTTAGAGACAGCAGTGAGCCATGATTGTACCACTGAACTCCAGTGTGGGTGAGACAGAGTGAGATCCCATCATTCATAGATAGATAGATAGATAGATAACTGATAGATAGGCATATAATTGATAGATAGGTACGTAGATCTAAACATAGAAAGGGTACGGTGAACTATGATTGCACCACTGCACTCCAGCCTAGGAAACAAATCAAGACCCCTTCATTAATTCATTCATTCACTCATAAATAAATAAATGCATATATACACACATACGTACATACATGTATACATACATACATTAAACAGAAAGGGTACAGTAAAAATACAGCATAATCTTATGGAACCACTGTCGTACATGCAGTCTGTTGTTGATGTAAACATTGTGATGCGGTGCGTGACTGTGTTTTCCCCCGGCTTCATGGACTGTAAACATCTTTCCATGTGTTTTATCAATTGGGATTGTGTTTTGAAACAAGTAACAGCAAACCCTGTCAACAGTGGCTTGAACAAATAATGGGGTATTTTGCTCGTGAGGCAGGAGTCTGAAAGTAGGAGGTCTAGGCTAGTGGAACAGCTCAAGGACGTTGCCAAGGACACTCCTGCTGTCTTAGGCGGCTGTGTTGCTTTACGGTCTCAAGGTGGCTCTTAACTCTCAGGGAGGCTGAGAAAGCAGGCATTTTGTGTTACTGGCCTCTCTATTGGAGACAGGTAAGGAAGAAGGGTGTTGGGATGGGAGCTGAGTCACCCAGCCAGCAGTGCCAGCATCATTACATATTCTAGAACATCCCTCTTTTCAGAGTGGCATTGTTTGGATGTGTCACAATTTATTTAACAATTCATTGTTGGACATTTCGGTGGTTTCCAGTTTTTCATTATTGTAAACATGCTAATATCTAAAGTTTTACACATATCTATAATTAGTGATTCAGTATAAAATTCCTAGAAGTGGAATTAAGGTCAAAGAGTATATAAAATCTAAAGGCTTTTAATCTTTTTTTTTTTTTAACCAAACTGCTCTCCAAAATGGCTGTACTAAACTATATTCTCACCAATCATGTTTAAAAGAACCCATTTCCCTGTACCCTCAAAACCAGGTTTTTTGTTCTGTCATTAAGCTGTTATACCATGCCCATTAGTGTGGGTTTAACTTTGTATTAGCCCTGACCAGACTCTGAACTGCCCATCTTGGAACCCAGAGCAGTTGCACCCTTCTGTGTTGCACCTGGGGGTGTGGGTCTGCAGGCTGTCCTGTATGTCCAGGCAGGCTGGTGGGGCCCTTGTGCTGATGGGCACTGCAGAGGACCCATGATGTTTCTTGTGAGCATGCACCTCGCTCATCTATTCTTGTTTTGAAAGTCCTTTCTGCCACTGTGAAGTCATCATTTGTCCCACCTGAGTCCTAATTCAAGGCCATCCTGGCTTGTCTTAGATTGAGATGCACCTGGGAACTGGCCTCTTTCGATACAGTGCACCCCACATCCTCACTCGTTGCTCTTACTGGCCTACCTCAGGTATAATGGCCTTACAGGTCTGTGTCATCATCTGTAACAGAGAAGGCTGAGAAGATGGTGTCAGTAGATTCTGGGGACATTTTAATCTATTAAGCTGCTTTTGAGACGTACTACAGTTTCCTGAGGAGGTGGCCAAAAGAGTGAGTGATCCCTATGCATCAACACTCTATGAAGTAATTACTAACTGGTGAGCAGTTAGCCACTACGTACGGCCCTTCTCATCCAGTGAGGAGTCAGCCATGGGTGAGACAGAAGGAGTCCCTGAACTGCAATCTTCTGGCCAGATTCTCTATATGCACACAGTGGTGTTTCAATATTCATGAGTGTAGGCAGATAGTCACGAGTAAACAAATGAGCAATGAATCCAAATGAGCAAGACAGGCTGAATGCAGAACACAGGCCAAAGCCCCAGACCACATCACTACCCCTCTAAAATCAGAAAAAAAAATCAGAATTCTGATTCCAGGAGGGAAATGATAAGGACTCTATTTCAATGCTCCCTTCAGGACCTTACCCTGATCTCTTGAGAGGTGACACCCTCAAGAGAGAAGCACCATCTTAGGGAATCAGCTGTCTACGAGCTTTTCTCATAGCCATGGCTTTACGCTTCTCTGTCAGTTACCATCACCACTTGGAAAGGGAAACTACAATTTATGAAGCATCTGTTATCGATCCAGCTAATGCTGGGAAGGTGATACCTGACCAGTCACTACTGTCAAACTTCCAGCTCACGGCTTCTACCCAGATCCCTCACTTTCCCCATGAGAGGGTGCTGCTCAGTATGGCATCCACAAAATCAGTCCCTCACACAACTTACTTATTTAACAATATCACAGTCCCCATCCCCTTCTCCTTACCTAATTTCATTGTTACCGGCCCCATGTCAAAGATTATTTAAAACTCCCCGGCTGTCAAAATTCCATTAACAACCTCTGACCTATAACCGTCACTCACTGAATTGACACGTGTGAGGTTCTGTGCGGATGCTCCACTTGAGTTAGCTTGAACCTTCACAACAGTCCGGCAGCATAGGTATTTTAGAATTATTAGTAATGTTGAGCATGTTTCACATGTTTGTTGGCCATTTACACTTCCCCTTCCATGAGTCATCTGTCAAGAGGCTCTGTGCCCACGAGCCATACACATAATGATGTCCAAAAAGCGCTTCTATTTTACTGTAAGAAACTCAGGCAAAGAGAGGCCGCCTTTGCCCAGAGGATCTCTCATGCCTGGGAGGTCGTGAGAGGCAGAGCTGGAGTTGGGTGCTGTGGAGTCCTTTTCACCACCTTTTTCATGCACCATGCTGCCCGTCCACATAGCTCAATGTGCCTGTTTATTTCTTAGGAAATACACCACAGGGCTACTATTTAGGTAGTGCAATTAAAGTTTACTTTCTGAATTCTCTATTTCCCCTATCTTTAGCAGAAAACTTGGGAAAGCCTAAGTCATTTTCCACTTCTTAGCCCCTTCCTCCTCCCCCTCATTTTCTAGGCAAAAATATGATAAGAGAGTAGCTTGGATAATGTCTAGCTTTGTTTTGGTTCTCTGGTGATGTGAATTTTTCCCATTGTTACCAAACTCCCACTTTTTCCACGTCGAAATACATTTCATGATAGCTGGAGTATGGCAACAGCACTCCTGAGTTACAGGCATGCGCCACCATGCCCAGCTAATTTCTATTTTTGTAAAGATAGGGTCTCACTATGTTGCCTAGGCTAAAACCTTCTGATAAGGATATTTTCTAGTATCTCATGTTTAGAGCAAATTACTAGAATATCAAGGATCTAGTAAAAAAAAAAAAAAAAAAGTAAATGCCATGGATATGTCTGGGATCAGTACAGATTTATCCCAGGATACTAGATCTTTAGTAGAAGGCATGAATGGTGAGAATTCCTCAGCAGGATTTCCGGATGTTTGTTAGACATGAGCACACAGATGACTTGTGGGTTCTCAAACTCGACAGCCCAAAACAGTTCACAGAAGAGTAAATATATATGGGTAATAAACATAGAAATATGTTCTCCCTCACTAGTAATCAAAGAAACATTATTTTAAAGATAAAAAAATACTTCTCTTTCAATCAACACACTTTTTAAAATAATAACAATGTTGGTGTTGAAATGAGCACTCATAAACTTCTGGGGAAAAAATGAAAGGTACAGCCTTTATGGAAGCTGTTAGTCCTTAAAAAATATATCATGCCCTTTGACCCAGTAATTCCCTGCCCAAGGAAGTAGTCACAGATTTAGACAAAAATTGAATGTTCAAATATATTAATTCCAGGACTATCAAAAATCAAAATGCCCAGCAACTAAAGCTAATGTAAGGATAGCATGGAATATTATGCCCCATGGAAGATGATGCTTCCTAATATCCTTAATTATTCTTTGAAGTGTCCACAGCATAATCTTAAGTGAGCTCGTGGTCTTCACTGCACTCTCAAACCTGCTCTTCCTGCAGTTTTCTCCATCCTTCCAGTGGCTTGGGCAAGAAACTTTGGGGTCATCTTTGACCTCTCTCACATCTCATAGTGCTCTGCAGCAAATCCTCAGTCCCACATTTTGTAAGATTCTCCCTACTTTCCAGGCCTTCTGCAAAGCATGAACTGCAAAGGCTCGAGGAGGAAAGAAAGCAACACTGAACTCCCTTGAGTGGTTAGGGTTTTGGTTCCTAAATTAAGGCACAGTTTTCCTTTTCCTTGAATTAATTATCTAACTCTTCCTCCTAGGGCAGAATCAATGGGCCAAATGGCCTCATTGAGAACATGACATCCAAAGGGAGAGTGGCAGGAGTCAAAGTATTATTATAATGAATAGAAATAGGTGAGGGAGAAAGTAATGGGATTTCATTGGTGGCAACCCTACTTGCTGAGAATTGTTGTATATTTTCAGTGAGCAACAAATATTGTACAGCATGGAGGACCATCAAATTTAAAAGAGACCTTAAAACCAAGAGTGTGTCGGCCGGGCGCGGTGGCTCACGCCTGTAATCCCAGCACTTTGGGAGGCCGAGGTGGGCGGATCACGAGGTCAGGAGATCGAGATCATCCTTGCTAACACGGTGAAACCCCGTCTCTACTAAAAATACAAAAAATTAGCCGGGCACAGTGGCGGGCGCCTGTAGTCCCAGCTACTCGGGAGGCTGAGGCAGGAGAATGGCGTGAACCCGGGAGGCGTAGCTGGCACTGAGCCAAGATTGCACCACTGCACTCTAGCCTGGGTGACAGAGCGAGACCCCGTCTCAAAAATAAAAACAAAAACAAAAACAAAAAAAAAACAAGTGTGTGGAAGCCATTAGCTTAGCTGCTGTGGCTATTAGACAAGTAGGCTTTGCCATTGGGTGAAGAGAGACTTAGTAGACTATTGATGTCTGATAATTCCCATTATTGGGGAGGAAATGTAATTTCTTCTTAACCTTCATAAGTTCATAGTTGGGACAGACCCCTGTAACAAAAGACAGATCAGCAAAAGAAAAACAAGCAAAGTTTTTTTATTTTGTTTTTCTCTTCAGATACAGGGTCTCACTCTGTCACTAAGGCTGGGGTGCCGTGGCATGATCACAGCTCATTGAAGCCTTGAACTCCTGGGCTCAAGCAATTCTTCCTCCTCAGCCTCCCAAGTAGCTGGGACTACAGGCATGTGCCACCACGTCCCACTATTTTTTTTAAAATTTTTTGTAGAGACGGGGTCATGCTATGTTGCCCAGGCTGGTCTTGAACTCCTGACCTCAAGCAGTCCTCCCGCCCCAGACTCCCAAACCACTGAGATTATAGGCATGAGCCACCATGCCTGGCCAAGCAAGTTTATTAATGTGTGGAGGGCACAGAATGCAGGAGAAACCCCAATGAAAGGCAACTTCAAGGCAGTGGCGTCAAACTCTGGCTTATATGCCATCTTCAGAAAAGAACAATACATTTGTAGAGAAATAACAGGACAGAAGAAAGCAATTTTAGGCTTCCAAAAGGGGGAAACTGTGGGAAGTTAGATACATGGGAAGAAACCAATGGTGTAAGGTTTGTTTACAGATTCCTCTGGTGCTGTGTCTGGGCTGATAAGAACTATCTCCAGTAAAGAAGAATTTATATCCTGTCTTTAGGCAGAAAAGCAGGAGAATAGAGCTCATCCTCTATTTGCTGCTCTTTAATTACTTTTAGCTCAAAAATAAGTCAAATAGGCATATTTTGGGGTGACATATTCTGGTTTTCCTTTACCTTGAAGTTGAGTCATAACACCAAAGGTTCGTCTATATCTTGCATGTACAAATAGGTAGAAAGGTTTATGCTAATTAGGTGAGCCCAGATTGGCAGGTTGTTGAAGGGCTAATTTAACTCACAAAAGGCCTTTTCGTGTTTAGAATCCCAAGGAAGAAGTTTGGACTTGGTTAAGTTATCCTGTGATTATTTTAGAAAAGTTGTAAACCTGCTATCCTCATTAGCCCGGATTCTTCTTAATTGTGTCTTAGAAGTAATTGGGAAAGTTTTGAATGGCCTGTGGTCTGTCAGAAGTAAAGGATTTACTGCCCTGGGATAAATTATGTTCTGCATAACGAACTTTATTTTGACAATATTTTAGTTTCCCTTTGAAAACCTTATGCCCTTTCTGAAAGAAAACAGTAGATAGCTGGAACAGTCTTGGAGCTTATCTTTAGAACACAGCAAAAGGTCATCCACATGTCAAACAACAGTAGAATAACAGATATTTAAGGTCCTTGAGGTTGTCATTCAGGACTTGTGAAAAGTACAGAGGGGGCCCCTGTTAATCTTTGGGGCATCACAGTCCAAGTATACTGTTAATGTTCCCAGGAGAAGGCAAACAAATATTGCCTATTTTGATCTAAAGGAATACTAAAAAAAGTAAAATACATATCTACAACTGTAAAATATGCAGCTTCAGGAAGCGCTGGAGATAAAGAAGTATTTGATTCTACTCAGAGAATGACTATTCTATTTATGACCTCAAGGTCCTGAGCAGATGTCTATCCCCACCTATTGAGTTTTTTGACTGGGAGGGTAGGGATGTTACGAGGACTTGTTTAAAATATGATGAGTCCTTTCTCTATCATGCTTTTGACTATCTCAGTCCTTCTTTAGCTCTGGTTTAGAGGGTATTGTGCAAGTTTGGGTAGAAATTTAGATGGATGTTTCTGAATCTTTATGGATTCAGCCCCAATAATCCTACAGACAATTGGATGTTTGAAACTTTGTCCTCTTTCTGTTCTAAAGTGCCTCTCAAACAATTTTGTTCATCAAAGCTTCCTTGACTAGTGACTGTAATTCTAAATTATCCTTGGTGAAATTATGGCATCTGGAAAAATAAGGCCACAAATTTTAGTGATAGCGTAAATGCATTTAAGAAGCGAGAGTCTTCTGGGCTGGGCACAGTGGCGCATGCCTGTAATCCCGGCTACTTGGAAGGCTGAGGAGGAGGATCGCTTGAGCCTAGAAGTTCAAGACCAGACTGGGCAACATAGTGAGACTTCATCTCAAAAATAAATAATTAAAAATTAAAGTTATGAAATTTATTTTAAAAAGAAGAAAAAATCTGAATTTGGATTTTTTGGAGGGAAAAAGAAGCAGGAATCTTATGAAGCAGGAGTACAGGTTTAGGATTAAACTGAGACAAAGCCATAATTCTAGGAACAGTCAGTCCAGAGTAACTCAGGTTTAACTCCTCCTGCCCTAAGCAAATGCCTGGGCCTTCCAACTACAAACTCCAAGCAGATTAACAGTTCCTAGAGGACAGAAAGGTTTGGAGAGGAGAACTCTCCCAGAGCCAGACTTCCATGGACAAAGCAAGAGAAGACTGAGGAAAGTTCTCATAGGGTGTATTTGTAATCACCCAAAACTGGAGACAACCCTGACATCCTCAGTGGGTGAATGAGTAGACTGTGGTACATCCATACGTGTGCCATTGTTTGGAATACTACTCAGCAATAAAGAGGAACCATTAATCCGTGCAACAACTTGGATGGAAGTTAAAGGCGCTATGCTGAGAAGAAAAAAAGCCAGTCTCAAAAGGTTACTGGATGATTTCATGTATATAACGTTGACAAAATGACAAAATTATAGAGTAATGGGGAACAGGTCTGTGGTGGCCAGGGGATAGGGTTGGGGGGGAGGGCACAGCTATAAAGGGGTAGCATGAAGGAGTTTCTTTGAGATTATAGAACAGGTCTGTATTCTGGTAGGGTGGTGATTCCATGAATCCATCCATGTGATAAAATTTCATGGAGTATATGCCAAAAAAAAGAGTGCATGTAAAAACTGATGAAATCCAAATAAGGTCTGTAGTTTACTTACAAATGTGCCAATGTGGATTTCCTGGTTTTAATAATTGTTATGTAAGATGTTACTGGGGGAAGCTGGATGAGTAGACATGAAATACATGAGAATTATTTGTTCTGTTTTGCAACTGTGAGTCTAAAATCATTTCAAAGTACAAAAGTTTACAGAAAATTGGAGGGACTCTCTTGGGAATCTCTTCAGCTTTTACTAGAAAAGATAATATAAAATCCTCTGCAGAATTATAAATTGAATGCAGTTTCTAAGCACTGTAATTTCATTTGTTGTAATTTTGATTTGGAAATTATTTTAACTATAGTATTAGCAATATTTTGTATTGTTGACTAAAATACTGTGTACCTGAAAAGAAAATCCTCTGGAGAGTTTCCCTTCTAGATAAAATAACTCCTTAACAATGGCATACAGAGCTACTGGTGATGTGGCTTTCGTCTGCCTTTTTAGCCACATCACCTTCTGCCCCAGCATGACTCTGGGATGAGCTACTTGCAGTCCTTTCCTTCCTCCCCATGCATTCCCCTTTCCTCTTAACTCTTACCTGCCTGATGAGTTTCTCCTTCAAGACCCAGTTCAAACCATGTTTCCTTTACAAAGCTTTCCCTGATGCAGGAAGCAGAGTTGCTCCAGCAGCTCCTGTATCTGGAGTTGGAGCATGATGTGTTGCCCTTTGGTTATTTCGTTCAGTTGTCCAGCTCTCACCTAAGTTCATTAATTTCTCGAGGGCCCAGAGTGGGTTCATTTCTTCCTATAGGTCCTGTGCTGGCACAGGGGCTGGCACACAGCATTGGGTGCTGAAGCACACACTCCACAAATGGTGATGAGTGACTGATTGAATCTGAGGCTCTGCAATGTCCTTAGAAAGCAATTTTGTCTATTCTTCCTGCCTTAATACAGTAATTTTCCACAAAACCAAACATTAAAAAGGGCTCTGATTAACCACAGTTAAACAAAGTTAATCAATATGTACAACATTATTTTCCAAACATTCAACTTAGTTAAGACTTTATTATATAAACACATTTCTTATCTTGCTTTTCATTTGTGATACAGTGTTGTGAGTAGCTGGAGAAAGATCGTGAGTCGCACTCATGGGTCTTCTTGGACAGATAAAATCTAGAACTTGAGGGTAGGATATGGAGTCTGAAGGGGGATGGGTGAGATGTTGAGATAAGGAGCACAAGCCTACTTTTAATCTGTATTTCTTTTTTTTTTTTTTTTTTTGAGATGGAGTTTCACTCTTTGTTGCCCAGGCTGGGGTGCAGTGGTGTGATATTGGCTCACTGCAACCTCCACCTCCCGGGTTCAAGCCATTATCCTATCTCAGCCTCCCAAGAAGCTGAGATTACAGGTGCGTGTCACCATACCCAGCTAATTTTTGTATTTTTAGTAGGGGTGGGGTTTTGCCATGTTGGCCAGGCTGGTCTCGAACTCCTGACCTCAGGTGATCCACCTGTCTCGGCCTCCCAAAGTGCTGGGATTACAGGCATGAGCCACAGCACCCGGGCCCAATCTATATTTCATTTCAAATTTTAACTGAAAGAACCAAAATGCTCTCCACCCTGCAGGCAGTCACTCACTATCTACCTGAAGTGCTGCAGCAGACACACATGGCTGTGATGACAAATGCCTGATGTCCCTCTCCAGCTTCCTCCTGGGCAAGTGATCAAGGACTCCACAATCATCTGCAGGTCTAGCTGCTGTCCCCATACTCCAACAAAATGACTCAGAGTTTCATCATTTCTTATTGCACAATTTAATGACCATATCGCCACCTCTGGTCTGGTAGCTTCATTAAACAGGGCAGATGACCTCCTCTTTGAAAGTGGGCCCTCCCTTGGCTCCTAAGACATCACCTTCTCTCCACCTCCTCTATTTTCATCGCGTCCCTAACATTCCTCCAGGACTGAGTCATTGGTCTTATGCTCTTTTTTTAAAATAAAAGTAATAATAAATATGTTTCCCATGTCCAGAATTTCCCATTTTCTCCTCGCTGCTTTCTGGCATCCTGTCATCTTTAAAGGCCCAATTAGGTGCCACCTTCCTCCAGAAACCCTCTAACTGCTGATCCCCCTCTCATCTTTTTCATGTGCCTGGAACACTTAAAAGCCAAAGGTGCTTTCACTATTTAGCACTTCATATATTCTGCTTTGTGGCGTCCCTTGTTATTTTATAAATTACTCTTACCTCTTCAACCAAAGAAAAGCTCCTTAATAAAGACAAGACCCATGCCTTGAAATGATCCCATGTCCTCATGATGCCTCACTGGGTGTTGAGCATTTTGTCAGTGGTCAGTAAGCACTTGCTGGTCGAGATTAAGGCAATGCTAGGCCGGACCTGGTGGCTCATGCCTGTAATCCTAGCACTTTGGGAGGCTGAGGCAGGTGGATCACTTGAGGTCAGGAGTTCAAGACCAGCCTGGCCAATACGGTGAAACCTCATCTCTACTAAAAATACAAAAATTAGCTGGGTGTGGTGGCACACACCTGTAATCCCAGCTATTCGGGAGGCTGAGGCAGGAGGATTGCTTGAACCAGGGAGGTATAGGTTGCAGTGAGCTGAGATCATGCCATTGTACTCCAGCCTGGGCAACAAAGCGAGACTCCATCTCAAAAAAAAAAAAAAAAAAAGAAAGAGAGAGGTTAAGGCAATGCTGCAATGTCTTGAAAAAATAAGTATAAAGAAGAAAACTGGGCCAGGCATGGTGGCTCATGCCTGTAATCCCAACACTTTGGGAGGCCGAGGCAGGCAGATCACAAGGTAAAAAGTTTGAGACCAGCCTGGCCAATATGGTGGCCCCATCTCTACTAAGAATACAAAAATTAGCCAAGCATGGTGATGGACGCCTGTAATCCCAGCTACTCGGGAGGCTGAGGCAGGAGAATTGCTTGAACCTGGGAGGTGGAGGTTGCAGTGAGCCGAGATCATGCCACTGCACTCCAGCCTGGGTGACAGAGCAAGACTCCATCTCAAAAAAAAAAAAAAGAAGAAGAAGAAGAAATCCTCTGAAATTCCCTTTCCCTCCTCCTAATTCTCAAGGGGTGAAATCTGGGCAAGTCATCCTGCTCTAGAGCTGTGAAAAATCAAATCGTCCTTCCTGCACCAGTGTGGTGGTGTGGAAAGAGCATGGGATTTGTGTTCATTTGGCCAGGTTCAGCTCTGATCTTGCCAGTGGTTGATCTTGAACTTGGAAAAGTCACTGGAATCCTCATCCTTCATTTCCTCAAAAGCAAAATTGAGGTAACAACTCAAAGGCTTTCTGGAGCTGGATGCTGTAATCCACAAGAGTGGCATTTCTGGTGGGAATTTCGGGCACTATGGTAGGGCAGGAGAGAAGCTATCTGCAGGCCTTCTGGAAGCTCTCCAGTGCATGTCCCCACTGGGGTGGGGGCTGACTGTCTCCACGTGGGGTTAGTCCTGCAGAACAGGCAGGTAGAGTAGAGTCTGAGGGCATGAGGAAAGGCAGTCTACTGGAGAGGGCACAGAGAGTTCAACAAACACTGAAACTTAAGTTTGTCCTGGACATCTTCAGCATCCGACTTTCTGGTGGAAAGCTTAAAGTATAAATGACTGTGCCCTCTCAAAAGGGCACAGAAGTAAAACTGGGAGGATTTTGGGAGGGGACTGGATGTGGGGTGAAAGGTATGGTGAGAGCAGAGAAGAGGGGCCTGAGCCTGGGGTCAGGGGAAAGTAGGCTAAACAATTCACAGGATGCAGACATTTCAGAGAAGGGTGACACATCACTTGGCCCTGAACAACAACTATAAGCCAGACAGTCCAAAGAGACATAGTTCCAAAGGAACATAAAGTGACATGGCTTGTTATGTGTCCCCAGAGACATGGATGTGCTTTTGGAACTTGAAGGATAATTAAAAAAACATCAGACCCACCAGGGCTGCTGCAAACATGACAGTTCCCTTCCCAACACGTCATGGCAGCTGCTGCAGCTCCCTTCCCTCTATCCTGAGGCTAGCCACAGATGGGCCAGCAGCCCACCCCCAGAGCAGACCAAGCAGAGAGGTGCTCCCAGGAGTTACCAGGTTCCACTCTCGGAACCATCTTAAAATCCTGTTCTGGGAAATCCAGCAGCACCATGTTATATGCATTAGAGGGAGACTGTTTAAATCCCTTGCCAAGGTTCCCAAGGCTTCGTGCTGCATCTGTTTGCGTGTAGCCAGGGAGTGCAGCTAGCATTCTCCTCTCCTTGCTTCTCCATGTAGCCAGTGGCACCTCCTCAGGGTCAACAAACAAGAAATAAAAGCAGAAAACCACACTTTCTGAGTCCACCTGCCATCTGAACCCCCCAAACCCTAGTTTAACCTCTCCCATTCATTCATTCATTCATTCAATAAATATATAGGTACTGAGAAGCTATTGTGCACTGAGCCCTGAGCCAGTACTAATTGAGGGAAGAAATGGGCAACATAGCTTCAAAAGCACAGCTCTGTCTTTCTGCCTGAGGCAGCAGAGAGTGGATACCCAAGGCTGTCCCTACTCTCTCCCTGCTCAGGACCCTGATCAGAGGGTCTGTGGGAATTGGGTCAGGGTGCAGGAAAGAAGATGTTGAGTCAGATATGTCTATGTCAGTGATCTTGCCTATCAGTAAAGGTTGCTCAGCCCCCAAAGCAGCGTGATGGTGAACCTTTGGCTCCTGCCAGCGGTACTCATTATCCTTCCAACAGCCCCATGCTCAATCATACCATCATTCTGATGCTTCATGAGAACTGAGGCTTGGATATCTTCGCCTACTTGCTTGTGTCTCACAGGCAGCGAATGGCAAAGCCTGTAGCCAAGTCACACTGTCTGCCTTCTGCTGGGAGCCTTGGATTGATGGGTGACTCCATGGACATTTGTTGACCTAAAAAGTAGGTGTTTGAGGAACTGAAAGATCTCCAGCAAAGAACGTTTAGAAAGAAAATATTGCCTATCTGCCCACCTAGATGAACCCTACTGAAATGGATTGATTTTAGCGATGAGAAATTTTGTTTACTATACTGCAGGGTTTCCGTTAACCCTCGAAGTTATGGTCAGATAGGGTGACCTAGCCAGAACCTACCCCAAGGACTCCTTCCCTGGCTAGCAGCTACAGGGATGTGGCACCATTATCCCAACCAGCCTGGGGAGAGCCTTAGTAAGAGTTCAGATCATTATTCAGCAGGACATGTCCAGGATCCCAGTGGCTGGAACTTCAGCAGGGCTCAGGGTCTTAGAGTTGTGACCTAAAAGTGTTGTGAGAACAAAATCCTGGAGGAGTTTCAGTCCCTACCTGAACCCACAGCCGTCCAGATCCCTGTCCTGGATGTGTGGGAGGGGGCGCATGCTGGGCTCCAGGCCAACCCTGCAAATACTCCACTTGCCCCGTCTCTGCATTGATTAATCCAGCTTTGAGAGGCTGAGCCTCTCAATGAATCAGGTCCTTGCTCAGCCATAAGAAGAAGGTGATTGGCCAGGTCTGCCAGGGCTTTGTGACCCGCTGGCTTGCTCCCCAGCCCCTCAGAACCCCTCAGCCCCACCTGCACATACTGCCTCCATGCAAGCCCAGAATAACCTGGATGTGTGACTCACAGGGGTAGGGGTAGCAATTTTGCAGATTTTCCAAACAGGTGACTTCAGCCCCCGGGCCTGGGCAGGAAGGGGTAGCCCAGTGACAATGGGCATAGTCCCACTTCAGGAACGGGAAACGTGTTGGCTGGCTCTGTGGAGTTCTCTCTCTTCTGATCCCACAGCATCTGTTCCAGTTGTCTTGGCCGGTAGGATGGCGTCTACAAAGCAGGCTATATGGGAAATCTGGAGCTGGGGAGGGATTGTGGTCAGAGCCCAGCTTTGGGAAGCCCATGTGGCTGTCTCAAGGCAAAGCAGCAGAGAAAAGTTCTGTAGTCTGTCTCCTTTCTGGACTGGCATTTCCATGGTCTGAGACCAGAGGCTGGCTGTGTGTCAGGCACCTACTCCTCGAACAAATGCCCTTAGATTCTCACTGTCTGTCCCCGCGATGCTGACAGCACTTGCCAAATACATACTGAATGTCAGGCTCTGTGCTCAGCACTGTGTACACATGGCTCACTTAATCCTCATAACTGTTCTGTGAGGTGGGAGCTGTCACTGTCCTCACTTTATAGATGAGGACACTGAGACCTAAAGTCAAGTCAGACAGCTAGGACATGGTACAACTAGGATTTGAACCCACCTGATGTGCCTGGAGATCTAGTGTTCTTAAGCACTACCTTTCTGGAGCTTGCTGGAGGCATGCTGGCCACCTCCTTCAGGACTGGTAGACCTGGTGTGTCTTTCATAGCCACGCTGGGCAGAGGGTGGAGGCCTGGAAACTGCAGGGGGTTCTTCCAGGGACCAGCCAGAACAGGGCTAAACTTGGGGTAAAAAGAGCTCTAGAGAATTAGAGAAGACTGAGGGCCCCTAAATTACCCTTAAGACATATTTGTGGAAGACAGATTTAAAAACAAAAAGCCAAAATTAGATTTAGGCTGGTGATAAGGTCATTAAATAATAGAATGTGAAATTTCAGTTGTGCAGACTTATTGGCCATCTTTATGATTTAAGAATATAAGTGCCTAGATCTAAGTGCAGTCCTAATCGCCTGGGAAGGAAGCAGATGGTCTCTAGAAACCCTTCTGACCATGGGTTAGTGGGATTTGGTCTTGATGACCATTTTTAAGGCCTCAGTCTGCAGAATGACCAGCAGCTTCCCCTCCCGCAATGAGAGCTGTAATTGCCTTTCCCAGTTGCCTGTGAATGCACCATGAACCTTACAGTCCTAGTATAGGAAATGACTCAGCAAAATCACCAGATTAAACCTCCTCAACTTTTCTTTCCCTTGGCTCCATTCCTGATAGCAGGAGTCGAGGCCCTTCAGAGCAGGCTTTCCCCAAAGCCACGTTGTCGGTCTGATCCTCGAATGGGGATCCGCCTGGATGATGACATGCCACAATCCAATCAGGGTCTGTTTCTCCTGACAGTCACATGTGCCAAAGATCATGGTAGAAACATGTGGATGGGGTTGGAAGACACTGCTACTACATCTCTTGGGACAGAGCCTGCCCCCTCCGAGTGGCTACCTACCATTCTCTCCGGGGAGGTGAAGGAGCTCTTGGGAACAAGTGTGTTATTATTAAGAGTTTCGTCAGGTTATGTCTTTTTTTTTTTTTTTTTTTTTAAGATGGAGTGTCGCTCTTTTGCCCAGGCTGGAGTGCAGTGGCGCTATCTTGGCTCACTGCAAGCTCCGCCTCCCGGGTTCACGCCATTCTCCTGCCTCAGCCTCCTGAGTAGCTGGGACTACAAGTGCCCGCCACTGTGCCCGGCTAATTTTTTGTATTTTTAGTAGAGACGGGGTTTCACCGTGTTAGCCAAGATGGTCTGGATCTCCTGACCTCATGATCCGCCCACCTCGGCCTCCCAAAGTGCTGGGATTACAGGCGTGAGCCACCGCGCCTGGCAGGTTATGTCTTTGCTGTAATTGGAGGCAGCTGGTCCACTTAGACCCTGATGCTTGGGCAAATACTTTATACACCTCTGCCCCCAGCAGCTGGTCTGGTGTGAGTCCAGGCCCAAGTCAACCCCCAATGCAAAAGCCAATCAGAAGTTGGACCTCTTTGGTGAGTTCAAACTGTGGTTTTAGGGGATACGGAGGCTGGCTTAGTTCAGTCCAGGATCTTAGAACAGCCCCAATGCTCCAGGCCCCTCAGCCAGCCCAGCTTTTAGAGGCTCCCAATTTGAGCTCTAAACTGAGCTCTGGAAAGGGGGTTTGGGGGATGGGGGATACATTTAAAGGAGTTTTTGCTCAGGACCTGGGTGCCACCTGCTGGCCATGTTTAGTTCTACTTACAGAGCCAAAGCTACGAGAGGAAAATTAAAAGGGCATCCTGCCCTCCCCAATGTGATGTTTGCTCAAAGGAAACAAGGAGGCTGTTACTTCATGCTGCCCTAGCAGGTGCAGCAGAGAATTCCTGCAGAGACCCCTGGGTGCCCTGGATGAGTCCTCCTGAGCCAAATGGACCCCCATTAGGGCAGAGTGTAGCACCAGTTGTGAGGACCTGAGCGAGTCCTGAGTAGGGACTGAAGCTGTGTTCCTGCTACTAGCTACCTGCTTCCCCAGAAGCCCCATAGTGGGTAACAGCATGATTCGTTGCTGGGTCCTGAAAGGAGCCATTTTTTCCAGCTTCCTTCACACAGGCACTGCTGCCACTCATGGGACCCTAGAGTCAGACCGAAGGTATGGAAAATGCCCTCCCTTCATCAGGCATTGACAAGACTGGGTCAATGCTGAGAAGACCTGGGCATTTTTCAAGCCGCTATGTGGCTCTTAGTGACTCTTGGGAGCCCTAAAAGCAAGGCCTTTAGTTGTGTTCTAAACTCCAGGGAAACTGGAGATTTTCCCTGTGTGCCAAGGACTGGCTAGTATTTTCCCCCCAGATAAGTGGCAGAACATCCCAATGTTCCAGCCTTTGCCATTGCAACAAAAGCCAGTAAATCACAGCTAAGTATGCATATCAAATGAAGGCTGTGGTTCTCATACAGGGCTGTGCACCAGAATCATCTGGGCTATTCTTTAAAATTATGTGTGTGTGTGTGTGTAAAATATGTGCATATAACATATAATGTATATATAATATATCATACACACACACACTTGGGCTGCACTGTAGCCTCTTGAAGTCTCTGCAGGAGAAGCCAGTGGACTCTCCTAGTAAAGAATCTCTGCAATGCATGGAAGAGGCCTGAACCATTAGCAGGTCCAATCCTGTGGAACCAGGAAAGCTGCCCCCAGGCTGGAAGACCCTTGAGGCTCAAATGATTTCAATCAAAAACTGGAGGATATATTTGGACTAAGACCATTGCCTTTCCTTTTCTTCAGTAGTCACCCCTTGAAATTCATACACTTTAAGCAGAACAAAGTCCCTAAAGTGGCTCGGAAACTCCCAGGGCCAACCTAAGACTACTCCTTGCCCCCAGAACCACCCAAGACCAGATCAGCCCCTCTGAGGCCTGTCAGCCACAGCTGGCCCAGAATCACTCTGCCCCAGGGGCCTCATAGGGAAATGAGTCTCTGAGCCTGTGGAACACTCCTGCAGAGTCATTCTGGACAGTTCCCGGAATAGCTGGTGCCCTCTGCACCAGCTCCTGGCCGTCCTCTGCACCCTCCCTGGGGACCTGGCAGAGTCTGACCACTGTGGCCCTGGGGTCATTCACATCCATCTCTCTACCTCTGCATGCCCTCTCCTTCCCTATTCTTGTGGCACTTGCTGTTTCTAGCACACTTTGGGGCATTTGGTTATACTGTTCTCATGTGTGCATTACTCTCCCCAATAAGATTATGAACTCCTTGAGGACAGGGACAAATCTTTTCAATTTCTTGCAGTCCACAACTAAATAATACTCATCAAAATCAGATGCCCTTTCCTTGACCCTACCCACTCTGCCCCTTCGGCAAGCTTAGCATCCATCCACCCATCCACTCCTCCTCCTGTTACTTTAGGTGCATCCTGGGAACTCAGAAACACTCCCCTGACTCCAGTCTGCAATTCCACTCCACCAATATGGTTAGGCAGTTATTATCCACCAAGAACTGGTGTAGAACCCGAAAGTGAATGGAACAGAGCCTGACCATTGAAGAGCTTACAGTCAGGTGGAAGGGGCAGGCACACACATTTTTATTTATTTATTTATTTATTTATTTATTTATTTTTTGGAGATGGATTCTGGCTCTGTCACCCAGGCTGGAGTACAGTGGCATGATCTTGGCTCACTGCAACACTCCACCTCTGGGTTCAAGCAATTCTCCTGCCTCAGCCTCCCTAGTAGCTAGGATTACAGGCCTGGCTAATTTTAGTAGAGACAGGGTTTTGCCATGTTGGCCAGGCTGGTCTTGAACTCCTGGCTTAGGTGATCGGCACCCCCCTCAGCCTCCCAAAGTGCTGGCATTACAGGCATGAGCCACCGCACCCGCTCTCACACACATGATTTCAACAGACCATGTGGGATGCCATGAAGAGCCGTGCCCAGGGTGCTGTAGGATCATGGGCACATGTCTCCCACAGAGGGGGTCAGAAAAAGTCCCCTGGAGCTAAAGCAGAGTCCTGAGGCTGAGTGCTGGGGGAGGGAGGATGGCGGGGGGATGGTGGGGGTATGGCAGGGGGATGGCAGGGGGACCCAGGCCAGAAGGTGATGAGACATGATTCAGAAAGAGGAGAGGACATGAGGCATCACTCAATGGTTCAACGTTACTGAACGTCTTGCCTGTGACAGGCCTGGATACCCCACTCTTGGCTTCAAGACATGGGGCGCAGGCATTTAAACAAGTCCAATGGTGAGCGCAAGGGCCAAGATGCAGGGCAGTGGGCGCAGAGACGTTGTGGAGGAGGAAACTCAAGTGCAGTCAACATTACTCTCGGAAAGCTCTGAAATTGCCAGGTCTTGAGTCTTTAGGCGCTCCCAAGACAATAATTCATTTCTGTTTCTCTTGGCTTTTTGGCCCCGCCTGGCCTCCCTTTGCCTGGGCAATGAAGGACAAGGTTTATTTTTCAAAGGAGGAAGAACTAGGAATAAAGAAGAGGGTTTTCTCTCATGATTTTTCTTCAAAGCATTCATTTAAGTTAAACATGCTCTGTCCTATGTACTTGGGGTCAGGGGTGGGAACGTAAGTGGCACACAGCTCTGCAGATGCCTTGCTGAGCCTCCCTGTCTAAAGCAGTACTACTCAAACAGGACTGTGCCTGCAGATCCTCCGGGCATCTTGGTCAAAGGCAGTTTCTCATTTAGTTAGGTCTGGGGGAGGACAAGAGAATTGGAATTTCTAACCAGCTGATCCCCATATAGTCCCACTGCGCAGGTCTGGGGCCACAATTGAGAACCATGGAACAGAGAATGAATGAACTTTGGGGTGGGGACGGCATTCCAGACAGAGGGTGAGTAGGAAGCTGCCTATAGCTCCTAACTGGGGAATCAAAGTAGGAGATAAGGCTGAAGAGGTGGGGTCCCCTTATGAGTTTGATAAGTGGTCAGGAGGAGTCACATGATAACAGCAGATGCCTGCGACAGGCAGGGAAATATTCTTTCTGTAAGAATATAAGGTGTATAAGATGTATCTTATTTCACAGAGACACTTTACATATTAAACCTGAAGAAATATTCTTCACTCACTCCAGAAACACATGTCCTCACAATTCTCGGAAAACACAGTCCTTTTGACCTATCTTGTTTTTCCATTTCTGATAAAGATGTGGTTACAAGAAATATGTCCTTTTCTTAACAGCGCAAGTCAGTTAGCAGCAGCAGCTGACCCTTGGCCTCTGGGGTGGGAAGGAGGCTCACTGCTGGCTCCACTCCAACTGCTGGTTTCAGTGCGGGAGCATAGGGTCAGAGTGGCCAAAAGAAGCCAGAAATCCCAAGTTGTTAAACATCTGAACTTTAAAATATTGGGCACTAATTCAAAACTGTTTCCAACACTATGAGTGCTGAACAGTTTAAGTCTGCAAGGCAAATTCGGCCAAGGAGTGTCTCTTTTATGACTGCTGGCTGAAAGGACTTGAAGTGGGGGAGGGCGGTGGCCAGACCTGCTTTTAGGTAGATTCTGACTACAGCAATGTCAAGGATGGATTAAGAGGAGGGAGAGACTGGAGGCTGGAAGGCCTTTTAGGAGGCTCCTGCTAGCCTGGGCTAGAGAGAAAATACAGTCAGCCCTTCACATCCGTGGGATCCACATCTGTGGATTCAATCAAATACCGATCAAAAATATTCAGGAAAAAAAAAGGATTGTTGCATTGCTTACAGACTTTTTTTTCATGTCATGATTTCCTAAACAATACAGTATAACAACTATTTACATCGAAGTGACATGGTAGTAGGTATTATAAGTAATCTAGAGATGATTTAAATCATACAGGAGGATGTGTGTAGGTTAACTGTAAATACTACATCATTTTATATAAGGGACTTGACTGTGCATTGACTTTGGTATGGGGAGATGTTCTGGAACAAATTCCCTCATGAATACCAAGGGACAACGGTATGCATAAATCCTGAGGGTAAGCAGAAAAGGGCGAATTGAGGAAGTCGGGTTCCAGGACTTGAGGAATGACTTGATAGGTGCATGAGGGAGAGTAAGCTGTCTGGGATGACCCCGCAGGTTTCTAAGGTGGTGATTAATTGCTGGTGATGACATTCACTGGGATAATGAATACAGGAGCCAGAAGCATATTCTAAGGAAAGGTTGTGGACAAGCAGAATTTAGATGCCTCTGCATCAGCCACAGGAATGTGGAGTCTGAAGTCGGAGCAGAGGCAAAGGTTAGCTGGCTTTCTAAAACACAAATCTGGTCAGGTTACTGTCGCTTAAAACCCTCTAATGGCTTCCTGTCATCCAAATAGAAAGTCCAGATTCCTCCTTCTGGTAAACAAGGGCCTGGCAACCTGTCCCTGCCAACCTCATTGTGCCACACCCCAACAGAAAAATCTGCTCCCCGGGCCTGCTCCACGACTCAGAGTGCCCGGAATAAGCTCTGCCTTTGTTCTTGCTAGTCCCTGTGGCTGAAATGCCTTCCACCCATCCCTTTTTATGTCTGGAAAATTCCTATTCTTCTCAGGCTCCAACATCTCTGCTCTGAAGCCTTCGCTGACCCTGCCCAGCAGATGCGCTCACACCCTTCTTTGTGCTGTCCCTGAACATTTATGTGCCTGTTTCACTGCCTCATCACTCCCTACTGAGGGGATCTGCCTGTCTGTAAATGCCTCAAGGCAGAGGCCATTTCTTAATTAACTTGGAATTACTGGCTCCTGGTGCACGTCTAGCATATAGTAGATGCTCATGAAATGTCTAAGGAATAAAGACCCTCCCTCTGGGGATAAACTGCGAGGCCAATCTGGAGGGAATGTTTCTTACTTCCCAGTATCATACAGCCCCTCTCTCTTGACAGCTAAGGAGCTACATGAGGCCCCAGTGCTGACCTCACCTTTCTTCTTGCTTTCCAGCTGGGGTATGGCCGTCAATGTGTACTCCACATCTGTGACCAGTGAAAATCTGAGTCGCCATGATATGCTTGCATGGGTCAACGACTCCCTGCACCTCAACTATACCAAGATAGAACAGCTTTGTTCAGGTAGGAGGCTGGGAATATGGGAAGTGGCCCTGCTGGAAGGAAAGGAAAGAAAGGTCGGAAGGCAGAGCAGCCACAACAGGGAATATACAGTCATGCATGGCTGAATGACTGATGTGGCCAGAGAAATGCATCCTTAGGCGATGTTGTTGTTGTGTGAACATCACAGAGTGTATTTACACAAACCTGGATGGTGTAGCCTACTACACACCTCGGCTATATGGTATAGCCTACTACTCCTAGGCTAAAAACATGGACAGCATGTTTCTGTACTAAATACTGCAGACAGTTTTAACACATGGTAAGTATTTGCACATCTAAACATACCTAAACATAGAAAAGGTGATAATAAAATAAAAACATGGTATTATAATCCTGTAGGACCACCATCATATATGTGGTTCATCGTTGACCAAACCATCGTTATGCAGCCCATAGCTGTAGCTTGTGATTAGATTAAGGAGGAGAGCTGGAGGCCCTGAACTAGTCAGACTGTCTGGAGCTGAAGTCAAGAAATGGAAGCAGGGAAAGAGAAGAGCAGGAGAGGCACCATGAAGGACTGCAGGGAAAGGAGGAGCGGGGAGCTGAGAGCCAGGATGGCAGCAGAGCCACAGGTCTGACCACACCTCTCTGGGTCCAGCTCTCAGCTCTTCTGGTGGTGCAACCTTGGGCAAGTCACTATACTGCCCTAGGCCTCAGTTTTCTCATCCATAAGATGGAGATAGTATCACCAACTAACTAGAGTTCCTGTTGGGATTGCCCTACCTACATGCAGTGTTTGGTGTGGTGCTGGTTCATAATACGCATCAATAAATAGTCATTGCTTTTATTCTTGGAAAGCTGGGGGGATTCTGGCCATGTCTATCCTGAAAGTAGGACTGGTCCCTGGCCCAGAACAAGGAGAGAGAAGAGGAGACGGGGTTTGGGGAAGTGAGAGAGAGCAGCTCACAGAAGGAGAGCAGCAAGACCCCTCAGCCAGCCATCCTTCTCCACAGGGGCAGCCTACTGCCAGTTCATGGACATGCTCTTCCCCGGCTGTGTGCACTTGAGGAAAGTGAAGTTCCAGGCCAAACTAGAGCACGAATACATCCACAACTTCAAGGTGCTGCAAGCAGCTTTCAAGAAGATGGGTGTTGACAAAGTAGGTGCCTGCGCTCTGGGGGGCCCTGAGGAGCAGTGTGACCCTGGGGAAGAAGAGGACCCACCAGCCCAGGCAACTGGGGCTGCTGGGGTCATTCCGGTGCTCGTGCCTCCCTCCACCTCCCGACTCTCCAGAGGGAATTTTCCCCCTGCTCAAGGCACAATGGAAAAGCCCACAACACTTGCCATGCCATCATGACAACATTCCTTTCCCTTCCTCCTCTCTGGACCCTGCCCACCCCAACACTGAGCTCTGTGCACCGCTCCTGTGAAGTTCCACCTCTCTCTGTCTCTGTAGGGCCCAAGAAAGTGTCTCTGCTCACTCTACTGCCTCGGTGGCTGCAGACCCCCAGCCCACACGCAGGCAGTAGAGCCAAGGGACGCCTCCCCACACAGTTCTTCCACACGGTGCCTGTAGAGAAGGGATGCCTCTGGATCTGACACTAGGGCCTACCAGCCTACCTGTCTGCTCTGGTGCCGTGGGAGGGGGGCAAGTGGAGAAGGTGGAGGACGCTGCAGCCCAGGGGCTGGCTTTCCTGAGAGCAGTGGCCCTCAGCAGAGGAAGGCGGTCCTACAGCAGCAGGTGGCTAAAGTACTCTGCTTATGTGGTCTATTTCAGATCATTCCTGTAGAGAAATTAGTGAAAGGAAAATTCCAAGATAATTTTGAGTTTATTCAGTGGTTTAAGAAATTCTTTGACGCAAACTATGATGGAAAGGATTACAACCCTCTGCTGGCGCGGCAGGGCCAGGACGTAGCGCCACCTCCTAACCCAGGTGATCAGATCTTCAACAAATCCAAGAAACTCATTGGCACAGCAGGTAACGTGCCCGAGCCGGGGGAGGGAGCGTGGGGGGCCGGGCCGGCAGGCCTCTATAGCCAGGAGTGCCCCCTGGGCCACGGCCCGGCCCTGCCAGCCTGGAGGAGACTTGTTATCACGGAGTTCGGATGACGCCGCCTGCTGGCCAGTTAGACCGGGGGAGTGAAAGTAGTGGGTGAGAGAGCTCCACAAATTGGTCTAAGAGGAGAGCCACCAGCACCAGCCATGGTGGCAACTGGGGTAGGAGGCCCAAGGCACTTTGTTTCATAGCACGAGCTAACTTGTTTGCCTCAAGATGATGGGGCAGCAAGGTGGCTTGGTTTCTCCATCCAGGTGCATCCAGACCAAGAGCCTGGTGCCAGCACCACAGCCCCTTCTTGCCCCCTGCCCCCTGGATGGCCAGGGGCAGGAGTTGCCAAGCTGGATCACACCTTTCCCCACTCTAAAGGCCCAATAGTCCTAAGTCCTCAAAAGATGAGTCTCTAGAAACGAGGCTTTGTCTGGGTCCTGGAGGGGAAGGGAGAAAAGCAATAGGGCCTTTGGGAAGCAGCAGCGTTGGGAGGGGAAGGGAGAGGAGCAGCCCCAGCCCGCGTCGGACCCCGTCATAGCAGAGCCACCTCCTCTGTCTGCACTGCTGTTCTGCCTGGGCCTGCCCCACTCGCCCGCCTGCTTGCTTTGCACTAGAAGCAGCCCGCTCTGTCTAGGGAGGTGCAGTCGCTAGTGAGCAAGTCGCCACGGCATGCTGGCTGCGCTGGGGAGGAGCTGGGGTCCCTGATTTGGCCACCACTGTGCAGATACCTGGTCCAGCCCAGCAGAGGGCAAAAGAGCCCATCCTGACACAGGGCCCCTGGAGGGGCAGCCACCCAGGGACAATGGCTTTGGGCTGGGGCTTCTGTTAGGAAAGACCCTGTGCCAGCTGCCTTTCCTCTAGCTATGAGTACGAGAGGGTCCCGCACCCTTCCAACTCTACTTCCCCAAATTTGCGTCCTAATTTCTCTCCTCTATCCCTCAGGCCAGCTCTCTCCCTGCCCCAACACCTCACACCTTGTTTAGTTCCCTATAGTTTCTGCTCTCCCGGGCTCGCCAAAGGGCTGCCCAGCTGCTGGAGTGTCCATGTGGCCAAGACTCGGGGCCTAGCTGTAGATGCCCTTCCTGGGGTGGGGGCAGGGGGGTGAGAGTGCCTGCCTGTCGCATGGGCCTGCCCCCGCAGTCCTCACACCAGGCTGTCTCCTGCCACGTGCGCTGTGGGCTCACGTGGACTTACCTGACTCTTTTCCTCTGGGCAGTTCCACAGAGGACGTCCCCCACAGGCCCAAAAAACATGCAGACCTCTGGCCGGCTGAGCAATGTGGCCCCCCCCTGCATTCTCCGGAAGAATCCTCCATCAGCCCGAAATGGCGGCCATGAGACTGATGCCCAAATTCTTGAACTCAACCAACAGGTGAGTGGGATGGGTAAGGGTAGCTGAGATAGCCCTGTCACCAAAGCCAGGCCCTTGGGGTGTCTGCAGGGACGAGAGGAGGGCAGGCAGGGGAACCTGAGGTGGGGACCTCTGGCTTGAACATCACTTTGTCCCCAAGCAGCTGGTGGACTTGAAGCTGACAGTGGATGGGCTGGAGAAGGAACGTGACTTCTACTTCAGCAAACTTCGTGACATCGAGCTCATCTGCCAGGAGCATGAAAGTGAAAACAGCCCTGTTATCTCAGGCATCATTGGCATCCTCTATGCCACAGAGGTGAGCACTCCCAGGCCCATTGGGCCCTCCCCAGTCTGGCCTGGCCCTAAGACCAGAAGCGCGATAGGGCCAGAAGGGACCGTGGAGAACATTTACTGATGAGAGAGAGGTGAAGTCACTAGCCCAGGGTCACCCATTAGCAGGGCTCCTGGACTCCTGACCCCTTGCTCTTCAGCTACTTACAGAACCTGAGAAGCCCTGCCTGGCCTGCCTGGCCCACCACTTTCCTCTCTCTCCCACCCTCCAGGAAGGATTCGCACCCCCTGAGGACGATGAGATTGAAGAGCATCAACAAGAAGACCAGGACGAGTACTGAGGGCGGCCGCAGCCCTGGCTGACTGCACAGCTTCCCCGTGCCTCCCTCCCTGCTCCACTCCCACATTATAGTCCTTTCCTAACACGGTCGGCCGGGTGCTTTGTGTCAGTGCTGCAGCACTGGGGAGCCAGGCGAGGGGGGCTTGGGGGCATGGGGCCGGAAAGCAGGCAGAAGCCCGTCCTGGGTGGTGCTGGCCCAGTTGGTGGGACCCCTGTCCACACCCACCCTATTTATTTCCGTTGTCTCTCTGCTGTGTCGCCCAACACTTCCCAGGGTGCTGCTGCCACCCGCCCCAGCCAGCCACCTGCTCCTGACAGCCAGCAGCTGTGTATTTGACAAAGTCATTGGTATATTTTTACTTACTGGATTCTCCTTGCACTTTACCTGTTCTTTTCCAGAGCTGACAGCACGGGCTCCGGCGCAGTGTGCCTGGCTTGGCTTCCCTTCCCCATGGCTGGGGGCTGGGGTAGGACTCACCCATTCTAATTTATTTTGTCTTTTGGCTTCTCAGTAGCTAAGGGGAAGGCTGATGTCAGGAGAGGGAGAGGGGGCTGAGGAGGTAGTGCTGTAGGCCCAGGGGGTCAGGGAAAGGGAGGGGGGCATGTGAGGGATGGAAATGACCTCCTGGCACCAGGCTCACCCACCCAAGGCCCCCTGCCCCAGCACTGAATCCCAGCGCTGCCCTGAGGCCCCCAGCCACTCCCTCCAGCAGCCTGGTTCACCACACAAACTCTGCCTGGACCCCATTGTCTGTCTGCTTCCCACCTGCCCTCCCCACCCCCTGCCCCTCGGGCACCAGCCTGCATATGTGTTCACTTTTATTTAAATAAACTTGTGTGGTAAAAGTACATGCCATGTGTCCCTCAACTGAGCCACAGTCCAGGTCCAGTGCTTTCCACCTCCCATGCACCGCTCTCTCCGGAGGTGATAGCGGCAGCACAGCCTCACTGTCACCCTCCCACAGGCCTGGAAACCACCACCAGCTCTGGGCTCAGAGCCCAGCTCCAGCCTAGCCCCAATGCCCAACACTGGTGGTAGGGCTCTGAGGGCAGGTAGGGGCCCCAACCCCCCGTCACTGAGGAGGAACTAGGTCTGGGCCCGTGGCCATGACAAGGGACAGCCGGTGAAGCGGCTGTGGGGCACCGTGGTGGCCTGGCCAAGAGGTGCTTCGTTTCAGTCTCCTTTGGGTCAGGGGGACTGCATGTCATCCCCCACCTGTTGTCAAAGCTCATACAACTCATCATAGTGATTCAGCTGGGGACAAGGGCTCACGTGACAGAGAGAGCTGGGATGGCCACAAAGAGCAAGGAGTTCTGAGTGCTGAAGCCCGGGACAGCAACATCCAAGGGGTTCCTTCTGTAGAGCAGGCTCCAGTGGGAACAGGGAATCAGGAACCCTTCCACATCACCTGCACAGCCCCAGTCCTGGCATGTGCCTAACAAAAGGCCATACTAACCGATGTCCCAGAAGCCCAGCAGAGACCAAGAGTGCAGAAATGAATGTGAGAGCCTTGGGGTCATCTAGACCAGCCCCCGGTTTACTGATGAGGGGTCAGAGGCCCACGTGCATGACTCAATCACCGTGGCTGAAACCTGGACTAGAACTCACACTTCTTGACTTGAGGTTCAGGGCTCATCCCCAAAGACCACTGAGGTTCCCCCAGCTGCAGGACAGCGCTGGTTTCCTCACCACCCTGAGTATGGTCAACATGCAGATGGGGCCGTGTCTCTTCTGTGGCCCCACCCCATGGCCCCTTTTGAGACCACCACCATTTCTCTCATGACACCAGGTTCAAGCCTTAAATAAGCAATTCATATCTGTTTATTCCTCAATCACCTCCACCACCCCTTTTGACTCCCCCCCCCCATACATAGACACTTCTGCCTTATTCTATCTCTGTTCTCCTCCAGCAAGTTCCTTGCCTGCTTTTACTTATCGTGATGATTTTAATTCCCTTGCCTAATTTTTAAAGGCTTTTCCCCATGATTACAGGTAGATACCATGAAAGGATAGGCCAGGCCGAGACCTCACCCTGAAGGTAAAGTGGGTGTGGGAGGCAGAACAGTGCCTCCCCCAATGTCCACATCACAATCCCCAGAAGCTGTGAATATGTGGGTTACATGGCAAAAGGGAATTAAGCTGCCTGTGGGCCAGGTGCGGTGGCTCACGCCTGTAATCCCAGCACTTTTGGAGGCCAAAGCGGGAGGATCACTTGAGCCCAGGAGTTCAAGACTTCCCTGAGCAACATAGGGAAACACCATCTCTACAAAAAATAAAATTTGAAGGGCGTTGTGGCACGTGCCTGTAGTCCCAGCTACTCAGGAGGCTGAAGCAGAAGGATCACTTGAGCCCAGTTGTTGTTAAGGCTGCAGTGAGCCATGATTGCTCCACTGTACCCCAGCCTGGGCAACAGACTGAAACCCTGTCTCAAAAAAAAAAAAAAAAGAAAAAAAAGTTGCAGATGGAATTCAGGAAGTTAATCTGCTGACCTTAAAATAGGGAGAGTGTCCTGGTTTATCCAGGTGGGTCCAATGTCATCGCAAACGTTTATAAGAGTGGAAGCAGGAGGCAGAAAGGGTCAGAGTGGGCAGGGTGTGGTGGCTCATGTCTGTAATCCCACCATTTTGGGAGGCCAAGGCAGGAGGATCACTTGAGCGCAGGAGTTGGAGACTAGCCTGGACAACAGCGAGACCCCATCTTTACAAAAAATAGAAAAATTAGCCGAGCATGGTACTACATGCCTGTAGTCCCAGCTACTTGGGAGGCTGAGATGGAAGGATCATTTGAGCCCTGGAGGTCAAGGGTGCAGTGAGCCATAATCATGTCACTGCACTTCAGCCTGGGCAACAGAGCAAGATCCTGTCTCAGAAAAATAAAAGAAGAGGTCAAAGTGAAACAATGTGAGAGTGACTCACCCACTGTTGTTGGCTTTGAAGACAGAAGGGAGCCATGAACTCAGGAATGCAGGTGGCCTCTAGAAGCTGGGCAAGGCAAGGAAATGGATGCTCCCCCAAAGCCTCCAGAAAGGAACCCAGCCCTGCTGACACCTCGATTCTAGCCCAGGGAGACCTGAGTTAGACTCCTGCCCTCCAGAACTGGAAGATAACGCCCTTGTTTTAAGCCACTAAGTTTGTGGCAATTTGTTTTAGCAGCAATAGAAACGTAGTACAGTGGGTAAAACAGTGCTTCGGTGAGCTCACCCTTCTGCTTGCTCCCACACTAGACACCCATGTCCTCCTTGACCCAACATCTTTTGGGTCTTCAAACCCCACGGCGGGGCCTACCCAAGCCCACCTCCGTGGCTAGTGTCTAAGGCTGCTCTTCAAACACCCAGAACTTAAGGATGTAAAGCCACTCCCTTCTCCCCACCTCTTCCTGGTACCTCATACTAAGTGCTTCTTTCCTCTGGAACACTAAGATGGTGAACTGTAATTTTCTGTTTATACATTTGTCCCCCACACAGACTTCAAGTTCCTTACAAGCAAGTGAGCTATATCTTCCAGCTCCACCTAGCACAGGGCCTGACACAGAGAAGGTGCTTAGAAAAGGTTGCTGGATAAGTAAATGCATGATTTATATGTCCTAGATGCCAAGTTAGAACTGGTAACTTACTAGACTATTCCAATGAAAGATAGAGTCCCTCTCCCACCCTTCTGTGTGTCTCCACCATGGGGCAGCCCCCTCATTTGCCTCAATGGAAAGCCAGTTCTGTTTCTCTTCCAAAAACATGGTCTCTTCTGTGATCATACATGTGACACAGGAGGGGTCAAACAAAGAGAAGATATTGTTGTTGGTCTCCTGAGTACACCTAAACCAATGATCTGCAAAATGAATTGATTAATGATCAGTTCAAATATGGTCCTTGGCAAAGGCACTGTATCTCAGAGCTACCGGATGCAAAGTCAGCCATGGTCAGGCCTAAGGGGGCTGGAGGACAGGTAGAAGGAGGCAGCAAGATATGCTCATCTCCCACCCCCTGCCTTCCCCTACCAACACTTCACACAGCCACATTTACCCTTCCAAAAGAGTGGATTATGCCACCCTCTCACTGGTCTCCCAGGGCCTGAAGGATAAAGTCCAGATTTGGCAGGCAAGTTCCTTGGCATATGGGCTCAGATCCCTTTCCAAACTCATAAGAGGCTATTGTTGCATTGCTATAAAGAAACATCTAGACTGGGTAATTTATAAGAAAAGAAGTTTAATTGGCTCACAGTTCTGCAGACTGTATAGGAAGCATAATGCTGACATCTGCTTCTAGGGAAGCCTCAGGAAGCTTACAATCATGGCGGAAGGCAAAGGGGGAGCAGGCACATCACATGGTAAAAGCAGGAGCGAGCAAGCGAGCGAGAGAGAGAGGTGGTGGGGAGGTGCCACACACTTTTAAATGACCAGATCTCATGAGAACTGGGATCCACCATGAGGGATCCACCACCATGATCCAAACACTTCCCACCAGGCCCAACTGCCAGCGCTGGGGATTACAATTCAACATGAGACTTGGGCAGGGACAAAAATCCAAACTATATCAAACCTCATCACCTCCAAAGTCCCATCAAGCACTGTCCCATTGAACTGCTTCCAGTTTACCACCCTCTAGGCCTTTGTTTTACATCAACAGATCCACACAACTGGCATTTTCTCTCCACCCACCCTAACCCTCAGCCAGTGAACATTCAATTTTGTTTTTTGTTGTTGTTGTTGTTTTGGGTTTTTTGAGACGGAGTTTAGCTCTTGTTGCCCAGGTTGGAGTGCAGTGGCACAATCTCGGCTCACTGCAACCTCCGCCTCCAAGGTTCAAGCGATTCTCCTGCCTCAGCCTCCCAAGTAGCTGAGATTATAGGCCTGCGCCATCATACCTGGCTACTTTTTTGTATTTAGTAGAGATGGGGTTTCACCATGTTGGCCTGACTGGTTTCGAACTCCTGACCTCAGGTGATACCCACCTCGGCCTCCCGAAGTGCTGGGATTACAGGCGTGAGCCACGGCGCCCGGGGAACCAATGAAAATGCTATTTCTCAGAACCTATCTCAGCTGCCGTCTCCTTCGGGAAGCTAAACTCCTTCCTAAGGAATGCATCGCTCCCTCAGCTGTTCATCCTGTAGGAATTTGGACTCTCTTAGTTCTTATCATAATACCTCAGTATGGCAGGTAGGAATCTCATCCTCACACACAGTTGTACATGAAATAGCACATTTCCTTAATTGTGATAAGTCACTTTGATTTTATCTTCCCTCATTCTCCTCTGCTGGCATGCTTCAAGGTTCTGAAGGCTCCCAGGATACTAACACCCTCCACGTGGATGTCTGAGCAGGAACCTGTCTGCAGATGCCTCAAGTCTGGGGCTCTCCATCGCTTCCCTGACACATCTGGAACTTGGGATTGACTCTTATGGTGGGAGGCAGAGCCTGTTCTTTCTCATTGCCTGGAAGGGGAAACCCGGCCCTGGCTGTCCCAGACCCCCAGACTTTTCTCAGCCTCCCATGAGAAGAACTCAGAGGCCAGGAGCGGTGGCTCACTCCTGTAATCCCAGCACTTTGGGAGGCTGAAGAGGGTGGATCACTGAGCCCAGGAGTTTGAGATCAGCCTGGGCAACACAGCAAAACCCAGTCTCTACAAAAAATACCAAAGATTAGCCGGGGGTGGTGGTGGGTCAGGTGATCCGTGGTGGGGGATCACCTGAGCCCTAGAAGTTGAGGCTGCAGTGAGTCGTGATCGCGCCACTGAACTCCAGCCTGGGCGACAAAGCAAGATCCTGTCTCAAAAAAAAAAAAAAAAATTATTCTCCATTCTCCACCTCCTACCCCAGCTCCCCAACACTCTGCCCTTTCCTCAAGCCCCCATCCTCTTCCTTGTTCTTTGGCAATAGATTTGTATAGCCCATTAAACCCGAGGTTTAATCACTAGCAACAGTAAAGCCAGCACTTTCCTAGAAGGAAGGAAGCATTTAATCTTCAATCTCTCCCTAGATATGAGGAGCACTACTTCCCTTCCATCCTTCCAGCTCTACGAGAAAGGAAAGAAAAACAGTGGCCGGGCGCCGTGGCTCACGCCTGTAATCCCAGCACTTTGGGAGGCTGAGGGGTGGGGGTGGGGTGGGTCACTTTAGGTCAGGAGTTCGAGACCAGCCTAGCCAACATGGCGAAACCCCGTCTCTACTAAAAATACAAAAATTAGCTGGGCTTGGCAGCGGGAGCCTGTAGTCCCTGCTACTCGGGACGCTGAGGCACGAGAGTCGCTTGAACCTGGGTGGCGGAAGTTACAGTGAGCTGAGATCGCGCTACTGCACTCCAGTCTGGGCGACAGAGCGCGGCCCTGGCAATCAATCAATCAATTGATCAATAAAGGAAAGAAAAACAGAAACAGTTCTACCAAGTCTCTCAATGCCGTGGCCTTCACATCGACGCTCAATGAACGTTCTCAGAAGGGAATCTCCTCTCCTCCCGGCCTCTTCGCCTGGGCGGGGGCCGCAGGCTGCCGCGGAAGCCTCTTCCCGATGCTCTTCGCTCAGGAGAGCCCGGCCCAGGAGAGGGACTACAAGTCCCAGGCTGCCTTGCGGCGGGCGCCGGGCGCCGGGCGCGCGGTCCTGCGAGGAGACGTGGCAGAGTGCGGCGCGCTCGCGCCGGACCGGAAAGCCGGGGAAGTGGCCGAGGAGGGAGGGCTGCGAGCCATGGCGACCAAGACGGCGGGCGTGGGGCGGTGGGAGGTAGTGAAGAAGGGTCGGCGGCCTGGGGTCGGCGCCGGCGCCGGCGGCCGAGGAGGCGGCAGGAACCGCAGGGCGCTCGGGGAAGCAAACGGAGTGTGGAAATACGACCTGACCCGTGAGTACCCGCCCTGCCCCGCCGCCTACCCCAGGCCTGTCCGGCAGGGTCGCAGCGAGCGGCTCCCAGAACCTGGGCGCGAGCTCGCAGGCACATCCCCGAGCGCCACGCTTGCGTTGTCTCTTTGGAGCCTCACGGGAGGCAGACAGCTCCAGGGAAGGTTGCGGTCCTCACCTCCCAGATGAGTAAACTGAGGCCCAGTGAAGTTGGATACCTTGGCCAGGGTCATGTGTCAGAGGGGCTAGGATTCCGGTCCTCAGACTCTCAGTTCACTGCACACACTCTCCCAGCTGCCCAGGGCCCTAGCTGGTCTCTCTGGGCAGGTGTCTGAGCTTTGAAGAGGTACTGTGGATCATTATACACGGTGCCCCCTCTTTAAGTAACCAGCAGGTCATGGAGGAAGGGACAGGAGGCCCAGCAGTGGGAGAAATGACCGCCACACACTCAACACTCACCAGGAATTATAAGTGACACCTGGTTCTTCCACTGAGGAGTGGAGAAAGATTGCCACTTGTTGATTATAGAGTTGTCATGTCGGAACCAAGAGGCGTTAGGGTAGGACCAAGATGGAAAAAGCTTGTCTTCCCAGACTAGTAGCCACTCACTGAATAAGGCAAACCTCTATATCCAACCTCTCTGCTTGTTCCTACATACTCTGATTTGTCTAATGAAGAACTGCCCCATCTTTATGAAAGAGCCCATAGACTCAAGAGCTGTAATGAAAGAAGCTACCAGGAGAACAGCCTGCCCTGCTCCTTAAGCAGTCCAAGAGGAAGGGGCTTTGAGACAGGCTCTTCCCTGGAGATGAATTAGGTGGCAGTGTGGGGAAAGGGACCACTGATAGGTGAGGCCTTGGGGACTCAAGGGTGGCCTGCCTTTCTCTACCTATCTTCACCCCAGCTGCAATCCAGACCACAAGCACCCTTTATGAGCGGGGCTTTGAGAATATCATGAAGCGGCAGAATAAGGAGCAGGTCCCACCCCCTGCTGTGGAACCTAAGAAACCAGGGAACAAGAAGCAGCCAAAGAAGGTGGCAACTCCTCCCAACCAAAACCAGAAGCAGGGCCGCTTCCGCAGCCTGGAGGAAGCACTGAAAGCTGTGAGTGTGCCTAGACATGAGACGCAGAAAGAATGGGGGCTTGAGATTTAGAGAAGATGAGAGGAGGGGGAGGTGGATGGGCAGCTGAGATCCTATGGGATTTGAAACACTTTAAGGGTTGAGAGGAGTTCAGGAAAAGATGGAAACCCCAGGGGAACAGAATGCCTGCACTTAGAATAGAAAGGAAATGGAAAATTTATAGGGAAACATGGATTGGTAAGAGGAAAGCCTTGAAGACCCAGGAACACCAGGGAGGAGATGGAGAAACTGGTTATGATTCTCTGTCCTATGGAAATACTGATCTTTCATTTTCTGTCTTGTCCTCTGTTTTCCTCTTTTTTTTTTTTTTTTTTTGAGTTAGAGTCTCCCTCTGTCGCCCAGGCTGGTGTGCAGTGGTGTGATCTCAGCTCACTGCAACCTCTGTCTCCTGCCTCAGCCTCCCAAGCAGCTGGGATTACAGGCGTCTGCCACCACGCCTGGCTAATTTTTGTATTTTTAGTAGAGATGGGGTTTCACTACGTTGGCCAGGCTGGTCTTGAACTCCTGACCTCAGGTGATCCGCCCACCTTGGCCTCCCAAAGTGCTGGGATTACAGGCGTGAGCCACCGCGCCTGGCCCTCTGTTTTCCTCTTGAACATGTGGAGGGCCTGAGAGGATAGGGCCTGAGATCAGCATTTTCAGCTGTCCTGTTCCATTCTTAAAGATGTAGGTACAGCAGAATTGCAGCATTCCATGTTCTTATGCTTAAAAATGGAATCCCTTCTTCCTACTGCCACCTAGTTCAACCATTTTCCCACCCCTACCCCATTTCTTTACTCCCTCACTCACAACTCGCCATGGTGGGGGGTTGGGGGATTGTCCCTGGCAGCTGGATGTGGCAGACCTGCAGAAGGAACTGGACAAGAGCCAGAGTGTGTTCTCTGGAAACCCATCCATATGGTTGAAGGACCTGGCCAGCTATCTCAACTACAAGCTACAAGCTCCTCTAAGTGAACCCACGCTGAGCCAGCATACTCATGGTAAGTCCTTCCAGCTTCCTCAAGCTCAGACAAGTTCAAATAAATTCAAAAAGGGTGGTATAACAGATCCCAGTGCCCCACACTGTCCTGATTTCCATGGGTGATTTGGGCTGGTCTCAAATCATCGTGACTGTGAATGTTTCTGGGCCTCATTCTGTGATCCTCCCTCTGGGCCTCCTCAGAGGAAGGATCCCAGCCTCAGTGCAGGGGCCTTTGCCTCCACTCACCATTCCCAGGGAGAGCACCACAGTTCTCAGAGCTGATGGGTGTCTGGTCCTAGCACTCACATTGAGGCCTATGGGCCTTAGATTATCCCTACAGCCTGGTGAGCCGGGAGCTACGTGGGATCATCCGAGGGCTGCTGGCGAAGGCAGCAGGGTCTCTGGAGCTCTTTTTTGACCACTGTCTGTTCACCATGTTGCAAGAGCTGGATAAGACACCAGGTGAAAGGGGCACGGGAGGGATGACCATCTTGGGAGCCTCCTCCTTTTTTTCCTGCTTCCAGTACCACTCAGTGGTTCTGTTTCCAGCAGAGAAATGTGCTAACCTTAACACTTTTTGGAAAGTGTGGAGGAAGTTAGGAGTCAGTGGACCTGGGGCCTGGGCTCACCGCTGACAAATGGGAGATTTCAGGTTTGGGATGCCAAATAATGTGAGTAGGTGTGAGAATGTGTATCTCTCCAGGGGAGTCACTACATGGTTACCGCATCTGTATCCAGGCCATCCTGCAAGACAAGCCCAAGATTGCCACGGCAAACCTAGGCAAGGTGAGCTCTCAGTGATGGTGGGGATGCTAGGAAGCTAGGACTGGGGAGGCTGGGCAGAATCTATGTTGTTGGACTCAGGTTTGGGATAGTGGAAGACCTGTAAGCCTAGTAATAATGGGTAACACTATTAGCACCTATCCTGTGTGTGTGCTCTGGAAACATAGGAGCAAGGTACTGCTATTATTTCCCATTTTTATAGATGAAAAGATTGAGCCACAGAGGAGTTCAGTAACTTTCCTAGGCTCAGTCATCCAGTAAATGGCAGAGTATGGGCGAAGCCCACAAACAGAACCTGCACCACGTGGCCATAGTGCTCCACTCTTGCTCGGCCTGTCCTCCCTCTTCCAGTTGACATCTCCCTTCCCTCCTGGCTTTGGGGGGTGCTCCTGGTGTTTTGTCCTATCCCAATCTGCCTTCCCCACCGGTCTCCTCAGTTCCTGGAACTGCTGAGGTCCCACCAGAGCCGACCAGCAAAGTGTCTCACCATCATGTGGGCCCTGGGTCAAGCAGGTTTTGCCAACCTCACCGAGGGACTGAAAGGTAACAGGGAAATAGGGAAGAAAGAGGGAGGGTCTCGGAGCTGGAAAACTCCTCTTTGATGCCCCCAGTAGGTGCAAGCCTGAGGCCTCCCTCGTGACTTTTACCCCTGCAGTGTGGCTGGGGATCATGCTGCCTGTGCTGGGCATCAAGTCTCTGTCTCCCTTTGCCATCACATACCTGGATCGGCTGCTCCTGTGAGTAATGGGAGGGCAGCAAGGGGAAGGCTCAGGGTGTCCCAAGTGGCTGTTATAGCAAAATGGGAGGCTATGATCTTGGTCTCCATGGATATGAGGAAAATCAGGACCAGCTTCTCCCACCACCTTAGAATGTGATGGTGAGGAAGGAAGAAGAGGGAGCTATTAAGGGCTGGCAGATGGGGTAGAGTTTATACCCTTTTTCCTAGATGTTGGCTTAGCTGGGGTCATGGCCAAAACAGCTGGCATGGGTGGTGGTGTCCAGCGAGCCTGTTTCTTCATCCCCACAGGATGCATCCCAACCTTACCAAGGGCTTCGGCATGATTGGCCCCAAGGACTTCTTCCCACTTCTGGACTTTGCCTATATGCCGAACAACTCCCTGACACCCAGGTAGGACTGCTCTGGGGCACACCTGCTGAGAAGGGACCACAGCACCAGAACCACACTACATATTCCCGTCTCTCCTTCCCCAGCCATCCTAGATCTGAGATTTGCAACCTGGAAGTTCAAGAGTAGGTTTCAAGGGAACAGTGACCCCTTGAAATTATATGGACCCTTGAGTGTGATTGGCATATGGGCATTTTCTTAGGGATAGGGTCCATGGCTTTCAACAGATTTCCAAGGAGTCTCTGAGTAAAAAGATTCAGAGCCATTGCAAGGTCCTCAGTGGCTATTCCCCACAGGCAGGCATGGGCTCTGAAGCAAGCAAAAGGTTCATATCATACAGCTCCACTTATAGCTTATGCCTGTCTTTCCTCCCCACCCCACCCAGCCTGCAGGAGCAGCTGTGTCAGCTCTACCCCCGACTGAAAGTGCTGGCATTTGGAGCAAAGCCGGATTCCACCCTGCATACCTACTTCCCTTCTTTCCTGTCCAGAGCCACCCCTAGCTGTCCCCCTGAGATGAAGAAAGAGGTGAGGATATGGTGGGAGGCTTTTTCTCCTTCCCCAGGGGTCAGCTGTAGCGGTCCCTATCTGCTGACAAAGGCCTTGCCTTCACAGAGCCCATTCTGAGGCTTTTCCTTAGCTCCCTGTTGACAGCTGCCTGCCCCGCTCACTCGAGCTTCACCCTCAGAAGATGGATCCCAAGAGACAGCACATTCAGGTCTGGGTGGTTTCTGATGCCCGTCTCTTGCAGATAGTGATCTTTGAGCTCAAAGCTCTAGCTCAGGAGCCCCAGCCTCCTGCTTTACAGCCTCTCAGAGAGCTTTCTGGAGTCTTGACACTGTTTCTCCACCCCTTAGGGTGGATGTGCGGCCTGGATGGCCTTGCTTACGGGAAGGGGATCACCTCTTAGCACTCCCCGCCTCTGCCAGCCCCATGCCCCCAGCAGCCTCTCCCTCTGTCGTGCTGTGCAGCTCCTGAGCAGCCTGACTGAGTGCCTGACGGTGGACCCCCTCAGTGCCAGCGTCTGGAGGCAGCTGTACCCTAAGCACCTGTCACAGTCCAGGCAGGTGGGGTGGGAGGCCAGCCTGTCCCTGTGCTAGAAGCAGAAGGGGAGCCTGGGTCACTGTCCCATGGCCTGACACCTTTCAGGCTGAGTGGGAACATTGCTGGAGCAGCCTCTAGGAAGCTGCTGCTCTGTGGGTGGTAGGTGGAGGGTCTTTCAGCCTGAAGGAGCCAGGGCTAATGGAGGACAGGAGGATGGGTGAGGCTGCGCGAGCCACCTGACTAGGGGGTTGTGCTTTCCCCACAGCCTTCTGCTGGAGCACTTGCTCAGCTCCTGGGAGCAGATTCCCAAGAAGGTGAGGAGCTGGGAGGACGTGGCAGGTTGAGCCCTGTCTGGATTCTAGGTTCTGAGTGGGGGCTCCTCAGCCACTGTCCCTTCCCTGAGAAGGGACCCTGTTGGCATGGAAAATGAAGCAGGATGGAAGCTCTGGATTCCCTCACAGGCCAGACCTTTCTTGTCCATAGGTACAGAAGTCTTTGCAAGAAACCATTCAGTCCCTCAAGCTTACCAACCAGGAGCTGCTGAGGAAGGGTAGCAGTAACAACCAGGATGTCGTCACCTGTGACATGGCCTGCAAGGTGCTGGCACCCGGTCCTCTCCAGCCCACACGCTATCTTACATCTCTGTCTCAGCACACCTGGGTTGGGCCTGTATCACATTCCTGCCCCACCTGTCTGGAGCCCCCCGCTGCCTCCAGGATAATGTGAAGGCTTGACGCTCTTTCGGGAAGGCCTGGCTTGAGGTCTGCCCTCAGAGGCAAAGACCAGCCCCTCGCTTCTGACAACTGTCTCCTGCTCCCCTCCCACCAGGGCCTGTTGCAGCAGGTTCAGGGTCCTCGGCTGCCCTGGACGCGGCTCCTCCTGTTGCTGCTGGTCTTCGCTGTAGGCTTCCTGTGCCATGACCTCCGGTCACACAGCTCCTTCCAGGGTAAGCAGCAATGGGCAAGCGAGGAGGATGGTGTGGGCGGGGCACAGAGCTACACGTAGCACCACCACCCCGCCCCCAGCAGCACACATCTTTGTCCTGACGAGTTCTCAATCCTGCAGAGTAAACACTTTACAGACAGATTTTTTTGTCCACAGATATGACACTACCATTTCAGATTGGACTAGGACTTCGCAGTATAGAAGTGCTTGCATATTCATAGTATCATTTTAGTAGGTGTTACCTCCTTTTAACTCCTGAGGAAATGGTCTCAGAAAGATGTAGCAATTAGCTTTAGGTCATAGCTAGTAAGTAGAAGGGCAGACCCTCAACCTGAGGCTTCCTGAAGCCTGAGCCTAGGCTCCAACCGGCAGCTGCATTCCTGCACACCTGGCCCAGCAGGAGAAGGGCAGCTCTGCATGCCTCCCTCCACAGCAGCCTGGAGCTGGCTTTGTGGCCCTGTGAGAACACAAAGCTCTGCCCAGCGCCTCGCTGTGCCTGCTCTGGGCCCTGTAGTGTCTGTCTCCCCAGTCCCTGCCCCTCTCACCTCCCAGCTCACCAGAGGCCCCCTTTACTTAGCCTCCCTTACTGGCCGGTTGCTTCGATCATCTGGCTTCTTACCTGCTAGCCAACAAGCGTGTGCCAAGCTCTACTCCTACAGTCTGCAAGGCTACAGGTGAGCTCCTCCCAGGGAGGGGAGAGGAGAGGCAGAAGAGAGAAGGCCTGGGTGTCAGGGAGGAGGCGACAGTCAGTGGGAAGCGCTTGTGATTCTCCTTTCCCACGGCCTCCCTTTCCCCAGCTGTTTCTTGGGAGCTAAGTGGGCCTGAGGAGACTCAGAGCCCTCTTCCCCCACTTCCATCTTCCACAGCTGGCTGGGGGAGACACTGCCGCTCTGGGGCTCCCACCTGCTCACCGTGGTGCGGCCCAGCTTGCAGCTGGCCTGGGCTCACACCAATGCCACAGTCAGCTTCCTTTCTGCCCACTGTGCCTCTCACCTTGCGTGGTTTGGTGACAGTCTCACCAGTCTCTCTCAGAGGGTAAGTCAGAGACAGGGAGTCAAATAAGGGGCTGGTTTTCCCAGGAGCAGAATTCTGGGAAAGGAGCAGCACTGTGTGGCCTGAGTCTTTAGGGCCAGGATGCAGTTCCCTGGATACTCTGACCCCATCCATTCTCCATGGTCCAGCTACAGATCCAGCTCCCCGATTCCGTGAATCAGCTACTCCGCTATCTGAGAGAGCTGCCCCTGCTTTTCCACCAGAATGTGCTGCTGCCACTGTGGCACCTCTTGCTTGAGGCCCTGGCCTGGGCCCAGGAGCACTGCCATGAGGCATGCAGGTGAGACCTTTGCCCAGGGCTCCGGCAGGATCCCCAGCAGCCCCATTCCCGGGCCCCAGGGACAAGCCATCTCTATCCAGTCTCCCACACTGTCCTGCCCCTCGCTCCCATTCCTGGCCACCCTGGGATGAGGGTTGTGGGTCTAAGCTTTCATCCCCGAAAGTTGACACAGCTACTCACGTGCATACTCAAAAATGTTCCACTTTCCTTCCAGAGGTGAGGTGACCTGGGACTGCATGAAGACACAGCTCAGTGAGGCTGTCCACTGGACCTGGCTTTGCCTACAGGACATTACAGTGGCTTTCTTGGACTGGGCACTTGCCCTGATATCCCAGCAGTAGGCCCTGCCTTCCTGGCCACTGATTTCTGCATGGGTAGACCATCCAAGACTGCAGCGGGTAGAAGGTGGCAGTTCTTCATGGGAGTCTTTTTAACTTGGTGCCTGAGTTCTCTCCTAGGCAAGTGGCCAGTTGCCTCCACCTCAGTTCTTCCATCTTTGGTGGGGACAGGGCCCAGCAGCATCTCAGCCTCCTACCCACAATTCCACTGAACACTTTTCTGGCCCTACTGCACATGGCCCCCAGCCTCCATCCTTGTGCTGGTAGCCTCTCACAACTCCGCCCTTGCCCTCTGCCTTCCACTTCCTTCCATCTCATTTCTAAACCCCAAACAGCTCATCTCTAAAAAGATAGAACTCCCAGCAGGTGGCTTCTGTGTTCTTCTGACAAATGATTCCTGCTTCTCCAGACTTTAGCAGCCTCCTGTTCCCATTCTTGGTCACAGCTCTAGCCACAGCAGAAGGAAAGGGGCTTCCAGAAGAATATAGCACCGCATTGGGAAACAGCAGCCTCACCTCCACCTGAAGCCTGGGTGTGGCTGTCAGTGGACATGGGGAGCTGGATGGAAATGCCTCTCACTTCAAAATGCCCAGCCTGCCCCAAATGCCTCTAAGCCCCTCCCTGTCCCCTCCCTTGTAGTCCTACTTCTTCCAACTTTCCATTCCCCATCATGCTGGGGGTCTTGGTCACAAGGCTCAGCTTCTCTCCACTGTCCATCCCTCCTATCATCTGTAGAGCAGAGCACAGGCAGTTGTGTGCCTTGGGCCCAGGGAACCCTCCATCAACCTGAGACAGGACTCAGTATATGGTTCTTGGGTATGCCCTACCAGGTGGAATAAAGGACACAGATTTGATTTCTAGCATTCTTGTCTGCATCCTCATATAGAAATTCCCCTAGTTATGGTTCAGAATAACAAAATCCTGGGCCCTTGCCCTCCTGAAGACTGTAGCCGTGGCTGTAATTAAGCTCCTGGTGGGGGAAGCCCACACACATGGTTCTAAAGTTTGACCTGGTGGGTGTTCTAGACACTTCTCTTGCTACCCTAATTATAGTGTCTGACTTGTCACTGTGATTCACGTCCCAGATTTGCCTTGATAGTTTTACGCTTAGAAAAGCAGGGGGCCGTCTCCTAGGGGAATTCTTGGCCAGTGACCAGGAGGTGTCCTTTCCTTGCCAGGACCTTCATTTTATAGAGCAGTGAGTGAAAGATTTAGAACTCCAAGGGACACATGAGTCCAAGGTTTATCACCGAAGCCCCTTTTTATTTTTGACTTGAGACTATAAGGAGTTAGATAACTCTGCTGGTTTCTTAGTTCTCAATTTTGTTTCCTTAAATGTTTCAAGTCAGCAGTACTAGAGATACGCTCTAGCAGTTCTCAAAGGCAGATTCAGCTTCCCTCATAAACTCCCATGACACTCAGCAGGTATGATGGCCAGTTATCACTTCCCCTCTCACACGGTGCCCTGAGACACTCCGCTTTTTCAGTGGTTCGAATATAAAGTAGCAGATGTAGGAAAGTATCGACCCAAAGTGAGGTCATGAATACAACAGCATCTCGTGTTCGCTACGTTTCCTCTGGAATTAGCCCACAAGCAGACCCCTTGCTCTCCTAGTGGCAATTAACCATGACCATCTTCCTGGAGAAGAGAAACTACCTGGCAAAGGGCCAAAGTCTTAGGACTGCTGGGCAGGAGAACTGGCCTGTGTTCAAGGTGAGTTGGAGAAAGGTGGCAGTTGTGAGAATGGGTTGACAATGGCACAGGGAGGACAAGTTCGGTGATAACTGTTGTAGAAGTCCAAGGCTGCATCCAGCGAACCAAGGATGCCACAAGTGCTGTGTTGGCTTCTAATGTGTGACTATATTTACCTTGCTGGGTTCATTTAACTTCTGACACTAAAATCCTGGGGAGCAACATTTTTCATCAACTTAGATTAATTGTGGTCTCTACTTACAGGAACACTGACAGCTTAATTGACTTTATTCGATAGATACAGTTTTTTGACCCAATGTTGAAATTGTCGGAAATTTTTCCTGTGTGGTGGACTAGTCCAATACGCACCTGCTCTGCATTAAAGCAAAACCAGATGTCCAGACATTTCATTTTTGCAGAGCTGTCAACAAACAGGAGTCCAAGCGGGGCCAGTAAATTGAACCAGCATAGGACAGTGATGCTGACAGGTGGGGCAGTCACACTGTAACTATTGCTGTTATTGGAAGAACCAAAAGGAGCTGACACCTCAGAGAGTCACACATCTGGACAGTAACTCCACACAGCTGAAGTTCAACCGATAACACACCATAAAGCTGAAGGGCAGTTATGAGTATGTTTATTTCTTACTAACTTTATTACCAGTTCTTTTGTGGACTTGAAAATAATATGCATGACTCACTTTGAAACATCCTTTCGTTTTCCTAAGTCTCCAGCAGATTTCTGGATTTCTCTGGTTATTTGTATCCAATCCACACTTCAGTTCTAGAGCAGGGCAGCTTGATGGGTAGCCTGACTTACTACGATGGATGTCACTAGGCAGATAGTGTTGCTGAGCTCATGCCTGCTACATTGTCAGTCCATTCACAAAATGCCACCACCATAAAGAGGGCGGGTTGTTTCCCACAGAGCCAGGCACACCTGCCCTGCCCTGTTACAGAATGACCCAGTGTCAATTACACAGGCATTTGTTTTTTGTTTTAAAGAAACGGGGTCTTGCCCTGTTGCCCAGGCTGGAGTGAAGTGGTTCGTGATCATAGCTCACCGCAGCCTCAAAATCCTGGGCTCAATGATCCTCACACCACAGCCTCCCGAGTATTTGGGCCTACAGATGCGTGCCATGCCCGCCTCCTTTTTTAAAAATTTTTTGTAGAGATGGCTCCTCACTATGTTGCCTAGGCTGGTCCCATTGATTATAGGTTCATTGATTCATATAATCAGTAAACTCCAGGTCTCTAGTGATCCTCCACCTTGGCTTCCCAAAGTGTTGGGATATTACAGGCATGAGCCGCCGTGCCCGGCCCTATACAGACATTTCAGTGGTTCAATGACCTCTGAGCATTTTGTTGTCTTACCTCACCTAAAGGAGTTTAAATTTAAGTGGACACTTAGAGTGATCTGTTTTTACTACATACCCTTCACAGTTGTTGAGGGGAGAAAGGGCCTTGCTTTTCCCTATGTGTATTCCCTTTATACTGGGCAGTTTTGGTGCTCTACTTGAGGTATAAGAAGGATTTTGGAGGGAGTGTCCACTGTTCAGGGTATGAGTGAATATTTAGTAAATATTGACTATTCTGCCTATTAATACAAATGTTGACTTTGAATGTGTTGTTGGATGTGCCTTGATATAACTTCTTTTTGTGTTAGCACATCACTTACTAATTTTTGAATAGACTTTTTTTTGTTTGTTTGAGACAGAGTTTTGCTCTTGTTCCCCAGGCTGGAGTACAATGGCGTGATCTCGGCTCACTGCAACCTCCGCTTCCCAGGTTCAAGTGATTCTCCTGCCTCAGCCTCCCAAGTAGCTGGGACCACAGGTGCCCGCCACCACGCCAAGCTAATCTTTTGTATTTTTAGTGGAGAGGGGGTTTCACCATGTTGGCTAGGCTGGTCTCAAACTCCTGACCTCAGGTGATCCACCCGCCTTGCCCTCCCAAAGTGCTGGGATTACAGGCATGAGCCACCATGCCTGGCCTGAATAGACTATTTTTTAGAGCAGTTTTAGGTTCACATCAAAATTGAGTGAGAGTTTCCATATATTTCCTCCCCAACCCGCCCCCACCACAGCCTCCCCCACCATCAACATCCCATACTGCTGTGGTACATTTGTTGTAATCAATGAACCTACATTGACACATCGTCCATAATGTAAGTCCATAGCTTACATTAGGGTTCGCTATCTGCGTTGTACACTCTGTAGGTTTTGATAACTGTCCAATAGCATGTATACACCATTATATAGAAGAGTTTCACTGCCATGAAAATCTCCTGTGCTCTACCTATTCCTCCCTCCCTTCTTCCCCCAGAGCCGAAGGAACCACTGATCTTTTACTCTCTCCAGTTTTGTCTTTTCCAGAATGCCATATAGTCAAAATCATACTATGTGGCCTTTTCAGATTGGCTTCTTTCATTTGGTAATTTTTTTTTTTTTTTTTTTTTTTGAGACAGGGTCTTACGCTGTCACCCAGGCTGGAGTGCAGTGGTGCAATCTCGACTCACTGCAACCTCTGCCTCCTGGTTTCAAGCGATTCTCCTGCCTCAACCTCCCAAGTAGCTGAGAGTACAGGTGCGTGCCACCACCCCTGGCTAATTTTTGTATTTTTGCTAGAGACAGGGTGTCACCATGCTGGCCAGGCTGGTCTCAAACTCCTGTACTCAAGTGATCCACCTGTCTCGGCCTCCCAAAGTGCTGGGATTACAGGCATGAGCCACCACACCCGGCCATTTGGTAATTTGTCTTTAAGATTCTTCCATGTCTTTTCATGGCGAGATAGCTCATTTCTTCTTAGCACTGTATAATATCCCATTGTCTGGATGTACGACAGTGTATCCATTCATCTACTGAAGGACATCTTGGTTGCTTCCAAGTTTCCCAATTATGAGTAAAGCTGCTATAAACCTCTGAGTTTAGGTTTTTGTGTGGGCATAAGTTTTCAAACACGTTTAGTTAAATACCAAGGAGCACAATTGATCATATGATAAGAGTATGTTTAGTTTTGTAAAAAACATCAAGCTGTCTTCCAAAGTGGCTGTACCATTTTGCATTCTCATCAGTAGTGAATTAGAGTTCCTATTACTATGCATCTTCATTTGGTTTTGTCAGTATTTTGGATTTTCACCATTCTCATAGGTGGATGAAGATATTTAATTTGCAATTCCCTAGTGAAACTGAGCATCTTTTCATATGCTTATTTGCCATTTGTATATCTTCTTTGGTGAGGTGTCCAGATCTTTTCTCCATTTTCTAATTGGGTTGTTCATTTTCTTATTGCTGAGGGTTTTTTGTTTTGTTTTGTTTGTTTTGGTTTTAAGAAACAGGGTCTTGCTCTGTCACGCAGGCTGGAGTGCAATGGTGCAATTATAGCTCACTGCAACCTCAATCCTCCCACCTCAGCTTCCCCAGTAGCTAGGACTACAGGCACACACCACCACGCCAGGCTAATTCAAAAAAATTTTTTTGTAGACATTGCTGTGTCACCCAGGCTGGTTTCAAACTCTCAGCCTCAAGCGATTTTCCTGCCTCTGCCTCCCAAAGTGCTGGGATTATAGGTGTGAACCACTGTGTCTGCCCTTATTGTGGAGTTTTAAGAGTTCTTTGTATATTTTGGATAACAGTCCTTTATTAGATATGTCTTTTGGAAATATTTTCTCCCACTCTGTGGCTTTTACAGTTGTTTTAAATAGCTATCTTATACATTATCTACAATAAAACATATTTACACCTTTCATAGTTTATATATTTCCAAATACCCTAGACTTCATCCATAGATATACTCTTCAGATATATGAGTGGGTGCTATTATTAACAGCTCACCTCACTTGGAAGGCCAGGAGATATCCAGTCTGTCCCAGACAGCTCCATGGAAATTACTACACATTTGTTTTTTTTTTTTTTTGGAAACGGAGTCTCACTCTGTCACCCAGGCTGGAGTACAGTGGCGCGATCTTGGCTCACTGCAACTTCCGCCTCCCGGGTTCAAGCAATTCTCCTGCCTCAGCCTCCCGAGTACCTGGGACTACAGGCATGTGCCACCACGCCCGGCTAATTGTTTGTATTTTTGGTAGAGACAGGATTTCACTGTGTTAGCCAAGATGGTCTCGATCTCCTGACCTCGTGATCTGCCCGCCTTGGCCTCCCGAAGTACTGGGATTACAGGCATGAGCCACCACGCCCAGCCTACTACACATATTTTAAGTTACGATGCCTCCCACCAAAGAGAAAGATTTAGTTTCCAGGTAGTAAATATTTTTCTTATTTTCTTTTTAATTTTACTTTTTATTGTTTTGAGACGGAGTCTCACTCAGTTGCCCAGGCTGGAGTACAGTGGCGCCATCTCAGCTCACTGCAACCTCCACCTCCTGGGTTCAGGCAATTCTGCCTCAGTCTCCCGAGTAGCTGGGATTACAGATGTAAGCCACCACTTCCTATTAGTAGAGACCAGGGTTTCTCCCTGTTGGCCAGGCTGATCTCAAACTCCTGGCCTCAAGTGATCCTCCCGCCTAGGCCTCCCACAGTGCTGGAATTACAGATGTGAGTTACCGCACCCGGCCTTATTTTATTATTATTATTTTTGAGACAGGGTCTCACTCTGTTACCAAGGCTGCAGTGCAGTGGCTTGATCACAGCTCATTGCAGCCTCAACCTCCCTGCACTCAGGTGATCCTCCCACCTCAACCTCCTGAGTAGCTGGAACTACAGGCATACGCCACTATGCCCAGCTAATTTTTGTATTTTTTTTAAGAAATGGGGTTTCACAATGTTGCCCAGGGTGGTCTTGAACTCTTGAGCTTAAGCCATCTTCCCACCTCAGCCACCCAAAGTGCTGGGATTACAGGCATGTACCACCACGCCCAGAAGTTACATTTTTAATTTTCTTTCAGACTGTTCATTATTGGTGTAAAGAAGCTCAATTTGTTTTTTTGCATGTTGATCTTGTTCTCTGCAACTTTGCTGAATTTTCTCTAATAGTTTTTTTTTCTTCTAATAGTTTTTTGGTAGATTCTTTGGTATTTTCTATATATAAGACAATATAGTCTGCAAATAGGGATAGTTTTATTTCTTCTTTTCTAGGTTGGATGCTTTTTATTTCTTTTTCTTGTTTAGTTGTTCTGGCCAGAAATTCTAGTACAATGTTGAGTAGCAACAGTGAAAGTAGGCATCTTTGTCTTGTTCCTGACCTTAGTGGTTGTTCCTGACCTTCACCGTTGAGTTTTATGTTAGCTGTGGGTTTTTCATAAATGTTCTTTATCATGCTGAGGAAGTTCGTTTCTATTTCTAGTTTTCTGAGTTTCTACTTTTCATGAAAGGGTGATGAATTCTGTCACCCTTTCCTGTATCAATTGAGATAATGTAGTTTTTTTCCTTCATTTTATTAATGTGGTATATTACATTGATTTATTTTTCTTTTTTTCTTTTTTTGAGATGGAGTCTTCCTCTGTCTCCCAAGCTGGAGTGCAGTGGCCGGCTCACTGCAGCCCCTGCCTCCTGGGTTCAAGTGATTCTCCTGCCTCAGCCTCCCGAGTAGCTGGGATTACAGGCGTGCACCACCATGCCCAGCTAATTTTTGTATTTTTAGTAGAGATGAGGTTTCACTGTGTTGGCCAGGCTGGTCTCAAACTCCTGGCCTCAGGTGATCCGCCCACCTGGGCCTCCCAAAGTGCTGGGATTACAGGCGTAAGCCACCAGGCCCGGCCTACATTTATTTATTTTTCTTATGTTGAACACCCTTACATTCCTTCAATAAGTCTAACTTGGTCATGGTTTTCTCCTTTTAATATGCTATTGGATTCAGTTTGCTCGTATTTTGTTGAGGATTTTTGCATCAATATTCATAAGGGATGTTGATCTGTAGTCTTCTTGTGGTCTTTTGGTCTGGCTGTGCCATCAGAATGATGCTGGCCTCATATAATCAATTAAAAAGTGTTCCCTTCTTTTCTATTCTTTCGAACAGTTTGAAAGGATTGGTGTTACCTTCATTTAGTGATCTGAGAGAAAAAAAAGGACTGGTGTTAATTCTTTAAATGTTTGGTAGCATTCACATGGAAGTCTTCTGATCCTGGACTTCTTTCTGTTGAGAGGTTTTTGTTTGTTTGTTCGTTTGTTGAGACGGAGTCTCGCTCTGTCGCCCACGGTGGAGTGCAGTGGCACGATCTCGGCTCACTGCAACCTCCGCCTCCTGGGTTCAAGGGATTCTCCTGCCTCAGCCTCCCAAGTAGCTAGGATTACAGGCATGCGCCACCACGTCCGGCTAATTTTTTATTTTTAGTAGAGAAGGGGTTTCCATGTTGTCCAGGCTGGTGTCGAACTCCTGAACTCAGGTGATTCACCCGCCTCGGCTTCCCGAAATGCTGGGATTACAGGCGTGAGCCACCGCGTGTGGCCTTTTCTTTGAGACAGAGTCTCTCTCTGTCTCCCAGGCTGTTGTGCAGTGGCGCACTCTAGGCTCACTGCAATCCGCCTCCCAAGTTCAAGCGATTCTCCTGCCTCAGGCTCCCGAGTTGCTGGGGATTACCGGAGTGGTAGGAGCTCACTACCACTCCCGGCTGCTTTTTTTTTTTTTTTTTTTTTTGAGACGGAGTTTCGCTCTTGTTGCCTAGGCTGGAGTGGCGCGATCTCGGTTTACTGCAACCTCCGCCTCTCGAGTTCAAGCGATTCTCCCACCTCAGCCTCCGGAGTAGCTGGGATTACAGGCGCGCGCCACCATCCTCTGCTAATTATTTTTGTATGTTAGTAGAGACAGGTTTCACCATGTTGGCCAGGCTGGTCTGCAACTCTTGAACTCCGGGGATCCGCCCACCTCGGCCTTCCAAAGTGCTGGGATTACAGGTGTGAGCCACCACGCCTGGCCATGAATGTGATTTTTTGATATTGAATAATAAAAGCTATGCAGATCTTCTATATTCTTCTATCTAAATGTTGACACAACTTTATATCTAGAAACTTCGGATTTAAAGCTCAGCCCGAGAGAACCCATCAAATGTTGGAGCTGCAAGGGGCTAGAAAGCATCACCAGACCTGGATTCGCGGGCGATGTTGGCTCAAGGTAGCACAGGACGTTGGCCCAGAGCTGGAAATTGAGGCCAGGTCTTCCGGCACACCCACCCCACAGGACGACCAAGCAGGGCTTCACAGAGGAGTTGGGGGTTAGGTTTATTTCTGTTGTTAAAAACCCGGTGAACAAAAGGTTGTGGAAAAAACACATGCAAAAGACAGGCGAAGGTGTGAGCTGGATAGGGACAAAGATGGGGGAACCCGTGGGGTCACTCCTTGACCCCACCCGGGACACCTAGACATCCACAGTGTCGGGGGAGGGGCCCCAGACCAGGCAGAAGACCCTTCCCCGGCCCTGGGGAACCCAAGATTTCCGAGAGTAAGCGGACCTGTGCAAAGACCCACAAGGGAGGCCAGTGGCCTGTGCTGGGCACTGTACAGCCGCCCCGACCCCGACCTCACGTGGGCCTCGGAGGCTGCAGGGACCTACCCGGCCGCGCGCCGCCCACCATCCCAGGTCTACCGCAGGGGAATCCCCCAGGCTTGCGAGCGCTTCCGAGGGCAGGAAAGCCTGTACTGCAGCCCCGCCGCCCTCTCCTGGCGCGTAGCCCTCTCCCCGAGCCCTCGGGCCACGCCGCCAGGCCCGCGATCCCAGGGCGGCCCGGGGGGTTCGGCACAGCCCGATAATGCGCCGCGCCGAAGCCTGCAGCACCCCGCGGTCGCCGTCTCTCTTGCACTGGTCAGGACGAATAGAGCCTGACAAAACCTGAGTTAATTGGCCGAGCGAATGTCGTTCGCGTCAGGAGAGCACGTCCGGAGAAGCCAAGGGAAATGTGGAGCAGGAGCAGCCAAAGTGGCCCATCGGCTCTCGAGCAGGGTTTGCGCGTCGCGGTCGCAAAGCCCCTGTGAGTGCAGGTACCGCGGCACAAGCGCTGCCCCGGAGCTCCAGGAGGCGGCGGCGGGCTCGGCGTTCGCGGTCCAGGAGAAACCACCGCGGGGTGTTGGGAACATTTTGTTAAAAAGCCGGGAAGCTCAGGGCCGGTGTGGCCTCCGTTCTGGCCTGAGAACCCGGACTTTGGGCAGCTTCTTTTCCTTGCCTTTGGGTCTCCGGCTTTCTCAGCTCTGTGAGGTCCCATGGGTCTCCTGCCCTGGCAGGTTCCTTCAGCTGGAGAAAGCGGGGGTCATGGCTGGATGAGGTTGCGGTAAGCATTAGAGGGCTATCAGCAGCATCTTATCGCAGCGGAGCCTTCGATAGCTCAGTTGGTAGAGCGGAGGACTGTAGTGGATAGGGCGTGGCAATCCTTAGGTCGCTGGTTCGATTCCGGCTCGAAGGACTTCGTCTGTAATTTTTAACCTCAATTTAATTCAATTATCCCATAAGGGGAAAGGCTTGGAGGCCTCCTGTGACTTAGCATTCGTACTGCCGTCAGTCCATAGGGAACACCGTAGTATGTAGTATACGGTAACGCTCTTTCTGCGTTCAATGTACATGTGGTAACGTGTTTTAGAATGTTTTCTGCTTAAGCACACGATTATATGCTTGATTTTTAGAATCTTGCACATGGATGCCACTGTATTGTACTCTGCTAAATAAATGTCCTGAACTGTGGTTGATCCACTGGTCAGTGAACAGTGCAGTGAACCTGTAAGGCAAAGGGAAAGAACTAAGCAGCAGGCGGGGGATTAGCTCAAATGGTAGAGCGCTCGCTTAGCATGCGAGAGGTAGCGGGATCGATGCCCGCATCCTCCACTCAGCTTTTGCGTCCGTCACACTACAGAACACAAAACGGGAGGGATTCCCGGCGCAGTGGGCTACGTGTTTCATTTTAGAGACACAAGACTGTTAAGCGATAAGGAGTTTCACACGATGTCTTTTTATTTCGCAGTTGAGTCCCAGTTTCTGCCGCTTTATCTTTCCCGCCTCCCGGCAGGCAGGCCGTTAACCGTCTTCCGGAAGACGCTGCTAGAACCCTCCGGCCGCTCCTGCCCGCCATCGTCCCCGAACGACACTCGCTCAGGTACCCACTAACGTGCGAGGAACCCTGAGAGCTGACCAATGGTAGCGAGCTTTACTGGGCGGGTCGCCAGCTGCAGCCACGGCCAATAGGCGAGAGACTTCTTGTTTCCTGGCAGAGCGGGGTCCCGGCACCGCGGCGCTCGGGTGTTTTTGGGGGCCCGGGTGGAGGGCCCGGGTGCCGGGGCCCAAGGTGCGGCCTCGCTAGCGGGAGAGGGAGCGGGATCACCGGCCCGGAGAGAGGTGAGGGGCTCTGCGCGGACTACGGGCCCCGCCAGCCCCGGCCCCGCCAGCCCCGGCCCCGCCCCCTTCTCTCAGCCCCTTGAGCCCGAGCCCCTCGAAGGCCACCCCGCACCCCGCTCCCGACCTGGCTTACGCGGTCCCGACCCCGCCCAGCTCCGTGGCCTCACCTCTGACTCCTAGGCCCTCCCTGCCTAATCCCCTGCCGCGGGAGCCCGTCTCGACCCCTTCCATGCCTCCCAGTCCCACCCTGCCCAGGGCAAGCCCGCTCGGTGTGACGGTTCCCCGCGAGTCGAGGGTGGAGAAGCCAGCCTCCTTCCCCCGAGTGGGACTCTAGCAGCCCACCTCTTTTAGGGGTGCTGAGAACACCCATTACTCATCCACAGCTACTAGGGTAGCTTTCTCAGGGTGCAGTGCTTACGGGGCGGAGGGGGATGGAAACAGACCCATGCCCTGGCTGGAAGGGAGCTCCAGTCGCTAGGTGAGCCCAGTAGCCTTTGGCTTGGCAGAGGCACCACTGTTATAGTTTTTCTCCATACTAGGCATAAGGTAGGAACAAAAAAGGAAGAACCAGCCCTTCCAGGGCTCAGGGGAGCAACACCAGAATGTCCGCTCAGTACTTGTGAGGACAGAGGCTGGAGAGAGGACTACCCATTTACACTCAGAACCTCGATTCCTCTCTCTGCTCTGTGCTGGAGAGTGCAGAGCCAGAGATCCAGAACGGCCCATCTCTAAAGGTGGCCATGTATGGTGGTGAGTGTATCTTGGCTAGGTTTGGAAAATCTGACCTCTCTGATTATATTCTCTAATCTTTGGGCTGCAAAGCAGCTGAGAGTTTAGTGTTTTTCAACATAGTTAAGCCACTGAGTTTTATTTGGGAACAGCCAAGCTAAAGTAAAATGGGGTCCCTTTAGGTCATTTACAACCCTTAGTGTTGGGGTACAGAATGCTGCTTTCTCTTGGCCTTTGCTGGAAGACCACTTCTATGTTTTCTAAGAGGGAGACAGCCTTTTGTTTCATAGGGCACTCCCTAAGAATAGCTCTTATTTATCAAGAGATACCCAGAAAACTCTTCGATTTGTCTTCCCTTTCCTCCTTAACCTAACCCTTGTTTTCCCCCAGCTCTCAGGGCCAGAGCGGGGCAGGAGGATGCTTTCCCAGCCCCACCATGGAGCTGCGCTGTGGGGGATTGCTGTTCAGTTCTCGCTTTGATTCAGGGAATCTAGCCCACGTGGAGAAGGTGGAATCTTTGTCCAGTGATGGGGAAGGGGTAGGAGGTGGGGCGTCAGCCCTGACCAGTGGCATTGCCTCTTCCCCTGACTATGAATTCAACGTGTGGACCCGACCAGACTGTGCTGAAACGGAATTTGAGAATGGGAACAGGTATATGGAACGAAATGGAGGGTGGAAAAAGGCTCCAAACCCATGCTTCAGTTAGCCCTCTGACTTATCTGTTCATACCCAGCATACTCCCTGTCCATTTCTGACCCATCGTCCCTCCTTTCTCCTTGCCAAATAGCCCTTTCCCAGTTTGGCTGGCTCCGGCTCTCCCACAGACCATATCTCCAACCCTTCCACACGTAATGACCTCTCTCTTACTCTGGTCCTCAGGTCATGGTTCTACTTCAGCGTCCGGGGAGGAATGCCAGGAAAACTCATCAAGATCAACATTATGAACATGAACAAGCAGAGCAAGCTGTATTCCCAGGGCATGGCCCCCTTTGTGCGCACACTGCCCACCCGGCCACGCTGGGAACGCATTCGAGACCGGCCCACCTTTGAGGTAAGTTCTCCATGAGGAGGAAAGAAAGACTTGGGTGCTAAAAGTAGAGAGGAAAGTAAAGCGTTTTTTTTTCCTTGATACAAGTATGAAGCAGGTGGGACAACAGGTTTAAGTATCAGCTTTTTCTCCAGTGTTAGCTAGAGTCCAAGATGAGCCCCTGCCTCAGGAAGCCTAGAAGGAGCCACTTTTCATATAGAAAGTGTCACAGGGAGGGAAGTTGGTAAAGGTGATAAGGGTGTGAGGTCAGTTCCTGGTGGTCCCAGTAGGAGCTCAGTTCTGACAATGGCATGTTGCCCCTCCCTCTTCCTCCTCTGCTCTTCAGATGACAGAGACGCAGTTTGTGTTATCCTTTGTTCATCGTTTCGTGGAGGGCCGTGGGGCCACCACCTTCTTCGCCTTCTGCTACCCCTTCTCCTACAGTGACTGCCAGGAACTGCTAAACCAGCTAGACCAGCGCTTTCCGGAGAACCACCCTACCCATAGCAGGTGCCAGCCCCATTCTTACTCCTGCCACACAGTCCTGGATCAGACAGCACCTCCACTACTTCTGGAATTTGCTCTTAGAGCTCTGAACCATACTTTCATCCGTCTTTTTTCTGTACAGAATGTACAGACAGGACTTTGGGTACCTTTGAAAACTATGTTTCTGTATGACCCTGATCTCAGCATATCGACACCTGCCCTCCACTCTTTCACCTGCCCAGTTCAGACCTCTTACTAGCCCAGCTCCCATTAATTATCCAGAGTTTAGCCAGCATTATGTGACTCAGTATACCTTTTTTATCTGCCCCCACGGAGAACAACTCCGACTACATTAAGTAATCTATTCTAGGAAGCCACAAACTGGGGAACAACAAGTTCACCCTGTCCTGTACTCTTCATTCTGGCAATGTAAACCCACTCAAATCCTTAGCCTCATTTAACATTGTGAGGGACTATAAGGCCCCAAAGGTTAGGGTGAAGGACCAGATTTTACAGATCCTGGGCTGGTGACAAGGCCTACCTCTTACTAGGACTTTAGGGACTTCTCCTGGCTTAATTTTTTTTTCCCTGTAGCCCCCTGGATACCATCTATTACCATCGGGAGCTCCTTTGCTATTCTCTGGATGGACTTCGTGTAGATCTGCTGACGATCACTTCCTGCCATGGGCTTCGAGAAGATCGAGAGCCCCGTCTAGAGCAGCTATTTCCTGATACCAGCACCCCTCGACCATTCCGTTTCGCAGGCAAGAGGGTGAGTGGAAATAGCATAAAGGTAGTTCTTTGGCTTTTCTCTAGCACCAGGTACTGTTTATAGCTAAAGACTATGTTATCTCTAGGCATCTTGGACATGGCCTCCGCCCGCAGCGTGCGGCAAGGGTGATGGCCCCTGCTCCACTTGCAGATTCAGCCAGCTGGAAATCCAGCGGCTATTCCTGCCTCATCCATGACACCCCCCATATACTGTCAAAGTAGAACTACAGGGTAACTGACTTAATGTCTGCTCTCCTCTCTACCTCAGATATTCTTCTTAAGCAGTAGAGTACACCCAGGGGAGACTCCATCTAGCTTTGTCTTCAATGGCTTTCTGGACTTCATCCTCCGACCTGATGATCCCCGGGCCCAAACCCTCCGTCGCCTCTTCGTCTTTAAGCTGATTCCCATGTTGAACCCCGATGGTGTGGTCCGGGGACACTACCGGTAAGTGGCTTCCCCAGCCTGTCTGGACTGTTCCCATTTCCCCTCATGCCCTGCATCTCAGTGAAATTCTGTCAGCCTTCTGGCTTCTGTGTTCCCAGTCCTCTTGCACCCTAATAAAGGCAAGCCCATCTCATCTTCCTGAGAAAGCATGAGATCATATCTAGTGGCACTCCCAGAAAGGAACCAAACTAGGATGACTGCAGGCCCATCTGGGTGGAGGCAGCTACCCTGAGGAAGCTCCTTAGGGTTCTATGGTAAGGGTGACAGCAGATCAAAGAGAGGCCCTGTCTTCAATTCTTTCTTTCCTAACATAGCTTCAGCCTCTCATTTGATAAGTCAGTCTCCTACGGTCTCCTTTTCATCTACACTAGTGTCTCCTTCACTGGCCCAGTCCTCTAGAACCTGCTTCAGTCCTTGTTTTCCTACAGCACAGACTCACGTGGAGTGAATCTGAACCGTCAGTACCTGAAGCCTGATGCCGTCCTGCACCCGGCCATCTATGGGGCCAAAGCTGTGCTTCTCTACCACCATGTGCACTCTCGTCTGAACTCCCAGAGTTCCTCTGAGCACCAGCCCAGTTCCTGTCTCCCTCCTGATGCTCCTGTTTCTGACCTGGAGAAAGCCAACAATCTCCAAAATGAAGCTCAGTGTGGGCACTCAGCTGACAGGCATAACGCTGAAGCCTGGAAACAAACAGAGCCAGCAGAACAGAAGCTCAACAGTGTGTGGATTATGCCACAACAGTCTGCGGGGCTTGAAGAGTCAGCCCCTGATACCATCCCCCCCAAAGAGAGTGGCGTTGCTTACTATGTGGACCTGCATGGACATGCTTCCAAAAGGGGCTGCTTCATGTACGGAAACAGCTTTAGTGATGAGAGCACCCAGGTGGGAATCCTAAGAATGTCATGTGAGTGTGAGAAGTGTTACAGGTTAGGAGATGGGGTTAGGCCATGAACAGAAGGAAGATAGCCTTAGGTAGCTTTCTGGAAGGAAGGCCTGTGTAGACTACCTCTGAAAAAGCTTTGAAGGGCCAAGAAGAGATGGCACAGGGGGATAATGTCTCAATTGTTACATCATGACCTTTTATTAAGGAAAGCTAACTGCATTATAGTCTGCTAGAGTCTGGGAATCCAGAGAAGGAAAATTTTGCATTGTTGGAGGGAGGAAGCTAAAAGCTTAAAAAAAAAAGAATTGCTTCCCAACACCTAGAAGTAATGTCAAACTGAGAATTCAGGCAGCACTGATTACTGTTAATGGTTGTGATGGTATCTGCTGTGTATTAAGTCACATGGTCACATACTTGCTATCTCTTCCTTGCACCTTGTCCCTTCTGTCTCTCCTTCTGAGTTGACTTTTCTTCCCCAAACAGGTGGAAAACATGCTATATCCAAAGCTCATCTCCTTGAATTCAGCCCACTTCGACTTCCAGGGCTGCAATTTCTCAGAGAAGAATATGTATGCCCGAGACCGTAGAGATGGCCAGTCTAAAGAGGGAAGCGGCCGTGTTGCAATCTACAAAGCCTCAGGGATAATCCACAGGTTGGGTGGAAGCTGAGATATAGTTGATGAAATAGCTTCCCTAAAGAAAACACCGTAGCTGGGTGTGGTGGTGCATGCTTGTAATCCCAGCTACTGAGGAGGCTGAGGCAGGAGAATCGCTTGAACCTGGGAGGCAGAGGTTGTGGCGAGCCGAGATCGTGCCATTGCACTCCAGCCTGGGCAACAAGAGCGAAACTCCGTCTCAAAAAAAAAACAAAAAACAACACCCAGTTCAGGGTGTTTGAGAGGGAGGGAACCACCTTAGTCTTCTTAAAAGAGAACCTCACAATTAGCATTATTGTCTTTAGTCTAGGACTCTACCTTGGGGGGACTCTCTGGGTATATGGTACAGTACCAAGGTCAGCTGCTAGTTGCTATGGATTATTAGCACTTTCATTTGTGTTCACTTTTTTCCAAGTGATTGCCTCCTTTGACCACCTAAGTTGTCCTCTATGGTTCTGTCCTGGTATCTGTTCAGGCGGGACACTGATAAAGGTCTTTATGTCTTAGCTACACACTTGAATGCAACTACAACACTGGACGCTCAGTAAACAGCATCCCTGCTGCCTGCCATGACAATGGGCGTGCCAGCCCCCCTCCCCCGCCGGCTTTCCCCTCCAGATACACTGTGGAACTATTTGAGCAGGTATGAATACATGGTGTAAGTGGGAAAAGGGAGAAACCTTACAGTCTGGAAAGGCCTTCACTCTTAGTGCCTGACTCTAAGGTCCTTTGAAGAGATATTCATCACTATGGCCGTCTCACCACTATGATTATTTTCCTCAGTTAACAGGAGCATAACTACAACTGTAATAGTATTGAAAGGATGAACAGGCACTATATCTGACCCCACATCACAGAGAATCCCCTAGCACCTCTGAGTCAGATTCTTTGCCTCTGGGCTTGTCTTTCTCATTCTATTGGATTTATTAGTTTCTGGGCTCAAAAGCACCCTGACTGTAGTGGTCTTGATGATTCCCATTATCCTAATAGAAAGAGCTGGCCAGGTGCGGTGGCTCATGCCTATAATCCCAGCACTTTGGGAGGCCAAGGCAGGCGGATCACCTGAGGTCAGGAGTTCAAGACCAGCCTGGCCAATATGGTGAAACCCCATCTCTACTAAAAATACAAAAATTAACTGGGCATAGTGGCACATGCCTATAGTCCCAGCTGCTCAGGAGGCTGAGGCAGGAGAATCACTTGAACCCGGGAGGCAGAGGTTGCAGTCAGCCGAGATCACACGCCACTGTACTACAGCCTGGGCAATAGATCAAGATGCCGTCTCAAAAAAAAAAAAAAGTAGATCTGTAGGTTACAGAAGGGATTCAAACCCCTTTCCTGCTAGGAGAATTCCTTCATGGCACCAGCCAGAAAGAAAGGACACACTTTGCCCCTCATAATGGAAGAGGGCCCCCAAATTGGCGGTAGTTTAGGGAACAGCTCCAAATCCGTTTGCAATAAACAGCCTGGGCACAAAGGTTAGGGCATCCAATGAGCAAATTATAGGTCTGGCCCCTCCTTCCCTTCCACTGTGCTGTGTACCCACCCCAAGGTAGCAGCCTGGATGGGAGGACCAGCATGCTGAGCCAAACTGGACTACCCCACAGGTGGGACGAGCTATGGCCATTGCAGCCCTGGACATGGCGGAATGTAATCCGTGGCCCCGAATTGTACTGTCAGAGCACAGCAGCCTTACTAATCTACGGGCCTGGATGCTGAAACATGTACGCAACAGCCGAGGCCTAAGCAGCACTCTGAATGTGGGTGTCAACAAGAAGAGGGGCCTTCGAACTCCACCCAAAAGTCACAAGTAAGGCCAGCAAAATAGGAGGGAGAAAGGGTAGGACAGTGGGACAGGGCTCTAGAGCTAGGAGTTCCAAGGGATTTATATTCCTTCCATCCTCCTCAAAGTGCCAAATGGCAAATATCTTCAGGGTAAATTAAAATTAGTCAGATTAGTTTATTCTTTTAGAATGGGATCCTCTTCCCTTTTATTCTGAGCTACATACACCTAAGAGATCTGAGTATCAGGCTTGGGATTCACTGCTGCAGAGCCCTGTACAAAATCAAATATAATTGCAGTGGGGCAGGCCTCAGCTTCCAAGGGTTGTGAATGACTGACTGAAGGGAGTTCAAGGGTCAGTGCCAAGGCAGTAGGGGTGAAATTCATTGGGAGATAAAGCTGCTCAGGGATGGCCCTTAAGACATTTTGAGATTAGCTGGTATTCCCCAGGTTAGATACTTCATCCACGGACATGAATTCCTCACTTCTTCCTTGGGATGGGTCCCTGTGCCTTTTTACCCCAGAGGTGAAGCTTTACTGAGCAGCAGATCCTAGGGAAAGCCTTAGGACACAACCTTCCTGGCCCGGGTTAACTGGCATCTGCTTCTTTGCAGTGGGTTGCCTGTCTCCTGCTCCGAAAACACCTTGAGTCGGGCACGAAGTTTTAGCACCGGCACAAGTGCCGGTGGTAGCAGCAGCAGCCAACAAAATTCTCCACAGATGAAGAATTCCCCCAGCTTTCCTTTTCATGGCAGTCGGCCTGCAGGGCTGCCAGGCCTGGGCTCTAGTACCCAAAAGGTCACCCACCGGGTGCTGGGCCCCGTCAGAGGTAAGCCAGTCTGGGAGCCCCTGCAACATGTGTTCGGTTGTCTGGGGCATTGCTGGGGGAAGTAAGAGCTTGAAGATATACTGTTGGCCCAGGACCAAGGGGTGAATCAATAAAATTAGTTTGTAGCAGAACCTGTGGCCTCTCCTACGACCTTGGTGTTCCCTGCGGCATGATTCCAGAGCGGTATTGTGTGTGGCCAGAGGGGGAAGTCTGGGTATCTGGGCTTCAGTGCATGCTAGGAGCCAGGGAAGTTTCCAAGGATGAAACACTAGCTGAAGCAGTGCCAAACAGGACATGGAGCCTCCACGTCACGGACAATGTCAGTCTGTCTTCATGGGGGCAGTTAAGGGAATGTCCTCAGAATCCAAACTGCAGTACTGTAGAATGATGGGGAATCTTATCTGTGGTCTTTATGGGCTGAAATTTTTCCTGGCTTCAGAGCTCATTAAGGAAGTGATACCGGGCTGGGTGCAGTGGCTCATGCTTATAATCCCAGCACTATGGGAGGCTGAGGCAGACAGATCACTTGAGGCCAGGAGTTCAAGAACAGCCTGGCCAACATGGCGAAACCCCGTCTCTATTAAAAATACAAAAATGAGCCAGGCATGGTGGTGCACACCTGTAATCCCAGCTATTCAGGTAACTGAGGCAGGAGAATCGCTTGAACCCAGGAGGCAGAAGTTGCAGTGAGCCAAGATCGTGCCACTGCACTCCAGCCTGGGCAACAGAGCAAGACTCTGCCTCAAAAAAAGAAAAGAAAGTGATATCAGAAGGATTCTAACTCTTCCAAAGAAAAATGGAACAACTGCAGACAATTTCTTTTCTAGGTATAAAATGCAGCAGTCTAGCTCTTTCCAGCAGTGAGCACAGTTGCTTAACTGTGCATTAGTAACCCCCAGGTTTTGCCTGATGAGACCCTGCCTGATAAGATTCTGGGTCAAAATTATATACCAGAAACAGATGGGCCTTTAGGGAAAAAGAAGAGAAAATTAACGGGAGTAACCTGGATTGCGGAGGGGGAGAGATTGTTATAGTGCCACTTCTGGAAATACGCTAAACCACAAATCAATACTGTACTGGCCTCTGCACTACAGAAGTCTTGCCCAGAGTATGGAGGCTTGTCAGCTGGGGCTAAGAGCTTTGCTGGTCTTCCAGCATACTCATCCTTGTTAGCTTTTCCCAGCTTGCACCCTAGCTGTTGGTACAGACCAGACATGTGCTGTGTCAGTGGCTGTGTAAATCTGACTGCTAGTGAGAGAAGCCATGGAGGAGAGGGCAATGGTCCTTACCAGCTGTGACCATTGAGATATTCTATCCCTGACAGGCAACTTGATTATCTGCTTCCAGGCCCCATTGTTTGAGAGTCTATCTTCATCAGGAAAGGACACTTGTGCACTGTGTTTGAAAAATAATAATAATGCCTTATGTTTACATAGCATTTAACAGTGAACAAGATAATATCATATATATAAATTTCATTTAATCCTCACAAAGACGCTATGGGATGGATGTTGTTTCCATTTTTCCAACAAGTAAACTGAGGCTATTTAAGAGTGGTTTCTCCAAGATTGCACAGCTGTTCCAACTTGTATCTTCTCATGCTCCAGTGGCCTAGTTTCCCATGGTAAATCTGCTTAAAGTTTTTCTTCTGTTTCTTTTCCTTTCCTTCTTTTTTTGAGACAGAGTTTCACTCTTTCACCCAGGCCGGAGTGAAGTGGTGTGATCTCAGCTCACTGCAACCTTCCACCCCCTGGGTTCAAGCGATTCCCCTGCTTTAGCCTCCCGAGTAGCTGGGATTACAGGTGCATGCCACCACATCCAGCTAATTTTTTTTTTTTTTTTTTTTTTTTGAGACCGAGTCTTGCTCTGTTGCCCAGGCTGGAGTGCAGTGGTGCGATCTTGGCTCACTGCAACCTCTGCCTCCCAGGTTCAAGTGATTCTCCTGCCTCAGCCTCCGGAATAGCTGGGACTACAGGCAAACGCCACCACGTCTGGCTAATTTTTGTACTTTTAGTAGAGACGGGGTTTCACCACGTTGGTCAGGCTGGTCTTGAACTCCTGACCTCGTGATCGCCTGCCTCGGCCTCCCAAAGTGTTGGAATTACAGGCGTGAGCCACTGTGCCCGGCCAATTTTTGTATTTTTAGTAGAGACGGGTTTCACCATGTTGGCCAGGCTGGTCCTGAACTCTTGACCTCAGGTGATCCACCAGCCTCATCCTCCCAAAGTGCTAGGATTACAGGCGTGAGCCATTGCACCCAACCTCATTCTTTTTTGGTCAGCCTCTTCTAGCTCTTAACTCATAGTTCCTGGGAATTCCTTCATCAGCATCCTAAGTTCTCCTTTCCTGACTACAAAGGGAAATAGTAAAGAGCTTTTTCTAGGTTGTCACTGGAATATTCTAGGCCCCTCTTTTTTTTTTTTATTTGAGATAGAGTTTCGCTCGTTACCTAGGCTGGAGTGCAATGGTGCAATCTCGGCTCACTGCAGCCTCTGCCTCCTGGGTCCAAGCGATTCTCCTGCCTCAGCCTCCCAAGTAGCTGGGATTATAGGCACCCGCCGCCACGCCCAACAAATTTTTTGTATTTTTAGTAGAGACAAGATTTCACTATGTTCGCTAGGCTGGTCTTGAACTCCTGACCTCAGGCGGATTCACCCGCCTCAGCTTCCCAAAGTGCTGGGACTACAGGCATGAACCACTGTGCCCATCTAGGCCTTTTTTTTTTTTTTTTTTTTTGAGACGGAATTTCACTCTTGTTGCCCAGGCTGGAGTGCAATGGCATGATCTCGGCTCACCACAACCTCCTCCTCCCAAGTTCAAGTGATTATCCTGCTTCAGCCTCCCAATTAGCTGGGATTACAGGGATGCACCACCACACCCGCTAATTTTTTTTGTATTTTTAGTAGAGACGGGGTTTCTCCATGTCGGTCAGGCTGGTCTTGAACTCCCAACCTCAGGCAATCCACCCGCCTCGGCCTCCCAAAGTGCTGGGATTACAGGCATGAGCCATGGCGTCCGGCTAGGCACTTTTTAATCACTATTTTATTGACATCCTCCCTGCCCCGCTTCCAATGCACAACACTGCATTGAGCCCCCTGAGGTGAAGGACATGTATTCTATTTCTCTGTTACTTCCCCCTACCAATAGAAAATATGCACAGTCAGTACTAAGTAATTCCTGGTTGATTGACTTGAAACTTAATAGGGGAAACAGGAC